>NC_000012.12:107763158-107914673 GCF_000001405.40 Homo sapiens | reverse complement strand
GGCCAGGGGGTTAATCCTTTGAGTGTCTCAGCTCCTCCATCTGCAAAACAGAGATAAGAATAGTGCCCCCTCCTCAGAGCTGTTGTGAGGATAAAATGCAGATGAGTATATGCGAGGAACTCAAAACAGCGCCCAGCACACAGAAAACCCTGTGTTGTCGATCACCATCATCTTTACATGATGACAGAGGCAGAGCCCAGGCAGCCCCTCAAGAGGCCAGTCAATACCCTCCAGGAACACATGTGCAGTGGAGCAAGTTGGGTTTATTACTCCTTGCAGGGACAAAAAGCATGCACCATGGGGGAACTGTGGGGTGTCAGTTTTAGGTTGGTCATTTGGGGCTAGGTGTCAGTAAGCAGTGGCTCCATAGTGATTGGATGCTGCCACGAACCCACTGGAAGGAAGAAACTCCGGATACATCTGAACATCTGAAGGAACAAACTCCGGACACACCATCTTTAAGAACTGTAACACTCACCACGAGGGTCCGTGGCTTCATTCTAGAAGTCAGCAGACCAAGAACCCACCAGAAGGAACCAATTCCGGACACACCAGGGGCAGATATTACACTATCTAGTTCATGTAGGGGGCAATGTCTCCTCATGCAGCAGGAAATGGGGAATGATGGAGGCCCGTTCCAGGACATGCTAGGAAATTCCCAAGGAAGTGGGGGCTATGCCCAGGGAGGTTGCATAATCTTGAGCAAATCACTTACACATACATCTTCGCCCATTCTCCAAGCAAGCTTTGCTTTACAGGACCCCTGGCAGCCATTTTTCCTAGCAGCCTTAAACAGAGGAAATTCCAGCTCAGAAAACTCAAATTTCAATTTTTGAACATGAAAATAGCAGGAAGGACCTGGAAGGCCACTTACAGCAGCCCAAAGAGTGAGGAAGTTAGATGCTGCCTGGAGGACTTCCCAGCCCTCTCCTCAGCCCAAGGAGAAGAGGATAAATCCCTCTCTGCCCCACACTGTCTCCTTCCCTGTCAGCAGAGGAAAGCCTGCTGGAGAAAGAATGGAAGGTGCCCCTTACAGGGCTGGGCAGAAGCAGAGAGGATTTATTCCAAGGGGTAGCCTCGTCCTGCAGAAATGGAGCCCTCCAGGGATCTGGATAGACTCCTGGGGACAGGCTAGTGCCTTCTTAGAGTGCAGCCTTTAACCCTAGGGGGACTGGGAGGAGGAAGTGCAAGACGCCTGGCAGGTTCTGCGCTTCCAGGATGAGCTGCTTCCAAACCATGAAAACATATCATCATTTGAAAGGGATGTGGGGCTTCAAGGCTTGTAGATGGAATACATATGACAACCATAACATAAAGAGCCACATGAATGTATATGACTGTTAGGCTTTCACATATTACTCGAGTTGGTAAGATACACCTCTTATTAGACTGAAAAGTGTGGCATAAATATTCTAATCCCCAGAACAACCACCTAAAAATAATTCCATACACATTCAAGACAAAATGGATAAAATGAAAAGTCCTATGTCAAGGAGATAAGACTAATGCAACCAAAACCATCTACATACAGGTTATGGGTGAATAAACATCCACCCAGAAGTTTTCATTTCTCTTGGGCAAATACATGGAACAGGATTGCTGGGTTATAAGGGAAGCATGTCTCTCTCCACCTGTCCTCCCCACCACAAGAGACCCCGTCAGAATCTGTTTAGCCCTTGAGGGGCTCTTCCCAATTCCGCTGGAGAAAGGGCAGGACATCTCGAGGGTGCTGACCCCAAAGCTGCCACCTGATGGCGCAGCAGTTCTCGCCCTCCTAGCCCAAGGGATCCCCGTCCTACGCCGTCCCCTGTCAGCGCTGGGGCCCCAGTGCGGGAGGGCCAGCTGCATTTCCCCATGAGCCTGTCTCCCTCATACCAAACACCCTCCACCGGCAGCTGCCCCCTGTGCACATTCCTAGGGTGATCTCTGCCCCCTCCCTTTCCTCCCCGGTGCGCCTTCCTTGCGGGTTCCATGAGCATGCGCGCCCATTCTTGGCTCACACATTCCAAAGGTGCATCCCAGCAACAGGCCCAACAGTGCAGGATGAGCCTTTGGCTGAGTTGGCAGCCAAGGAGAACTCGCCAACCTCGCTGTGCTGCCAAGACCTGACTTGACACTACTGCTCCCCTTTGCCCGTTACCCGTGAAAGCTTTGCTCCACAGCGCCCCCTGCAGGGGGCTGGCAGGGCAGCTGGCTGCCTGCCCTTGGCCCGTTCCTTGGCTGCCCCGGCTTCTGCACTTACCCTTGGTCCTGGACCAACTCCAAGAATTCAGTGACTTTACACTGGCTTTTCTTAGAGCCTCTTGGAGACAACATCCTAAGATACTGCAGACCCTGTGTTTTGTTTTTGGTTTTGAAGGCCCTCTGAGGGCCCTCAAATGGACCCTGAGGAAATGGATACCTGAGCAGGACAAGGACCTTGGAGTCACAGAGGTTCTCGATAATTAGAGAAAGGGGCCTGATGATACTGGGGGTGCACAGATCACATTTAGGTCCTTGAGGGTCAATGGAGGCCTCTCTTCTGTCGTGCCCAAGTCTGGGCCTCTGCAGAGAGACCTCCATGCCCAGAAATCAGAAGTCAGATTGAACAAGAAATCCCAGCCTTTCTAGGTGAGCTCCTGCCCCCAAAATGCTGTCTCCAGCTCACACAGCACCACAGGAGGTTTCCCGCCACTGAAGAGGAGGAGGGGGCCAGCCTCATTCCTCTCCCGGCTGCCCCTCCGGAGCTCAAAGACAGTGAGTGAGGAGGGACCCTGGTCTCCCTCTTTGGCTACAGAGGTTTCCCAGAGGAAGATCTGGAGTGAAAAGGCAGCAGATGCAACACAAGGGCAGAAACTCACCTCCAAGAATGGCTCCCTCGCATCCACAGTACTGGCCCCTTCGATGCAAGTTTCCTCTGCTGCCATGCAGGCGAGGGGAGCCTCTGACGCTGTACCTCCCTCCCAGCTGGGGTTCCGACTCACGGCTGAAGACCTGGACCTGGAGAAGGAAACAGTGCTGCTATGCATCAAAAGTGCATTGTGGGGTGAGGCCAAGGCCATCCGGGACTGGGGAGCCTTGCAGCCTTCCCATATTTTGCCACCACCTGCGGCAGCAATGGCTCCTCTGCCCACTGCCTCTCCAGACCCCCTCCACCCTCTGGGACTAATGCACAGGAGGAGGGACGCAGGACGCAAGACTGCCCAGGCCCAGTAGCCCTCCTGGAATCTGCTGCAGTGGCTACCTCTATGCCTCCTGTGTCTGGGAGGAAGCACAGCTCACCAGGGCCCCTGTTCTCCCCCTTAGAGCTCCATCCAGTCACCTCTTCATACTTCCTGGTCTCAGCCTTGCTGACCCTGCTCCCTCCTCATCATCAGGCAGATACAGAGCACTGCAGCAAAAAAGAGAGGGGTCCCAAGCACCACACACTTCGTGGGGGAAGCTTGGGCCTGAACAGCAGTAGTCCCTGTAGCCAGAGCACCCAAACCATGGGACCCAGCGCCAGGAATAATTGTTCGCAGGCACTGTTGCCCATGCTTTTTAAGCCACATCCCTAGAGGGCTACCCAAGCAGAAACCCCACATTTCAAGTTGGGGGCCTAATACCACTTGCAAGCAAGGCTGCCCCTAGGTGCATGCCTGCGCCAGCCTCTGACCCTAGGAACCGTACTTCCCATGTGGGCACAGAAAGGCAGAACCTCACCTTTAGGTCTCCCTCATCCCCTGTCCAGGGTTCTGCAGGGCCTTCCTCCTCCAGGTTGGGTTCCACTCCCTTGGGGTCCAAGAGGGAAATGCTGGTCTGAGAGGAGAACTTCCTGGAGCCAGTGCCCACCCATCCCCCCAGGCTGGACTTTGTGTGAGCCTGTTTAGTTGGGAAATGCAAGGCTAGCCCCTACCTCTGCCATCCTGGAGGGCTAGAGATATAGCATTCCAGTCCCACCCCTTCCCTCGAAGCTTTAGTCTGAAAGTAGGTAGTTTGAGGCTCTTAAATTGTCCTATCCCAGTGGTCAGAGTCCTCATAGCAATAGACAGAGGTAGCATTCCAGTCCCACCCCTTCCCTGAAGATTTAGTCTGAAAGTAGGTGGTGTGAGGCTCTTCAATTGTCTTATCCCAGTGGTCAGAGTCCTCATAGCAATAGACAGAGGGCCCTTGGTTTATTTCACTCCAGTCCTGAAGCAGGTGGGATACTCCCTGCTGCCTACAGTTGACTCTCCTCTCCCGTTTTTTCCCCCAGAACCCTTGTGTGTCTTCTGTGTAACTTATAATAAAGCTTTGTTATTGCTTCTGTACAATAAGAATTCTCATGTCTCTGCTCCATAAATCAAGTGTGAAGAGAGTATTGACTTACATGAGCAGTGACAGATTTAACGGATTAAAATTTCCTGTAACCTACCTAATGGGGTGTGGAAAGCAGCACAGCTCAATGGCTAAAAGGACTCAGTATTAAATAGTGTTTGGGGTTTAAGGGATGGTTTGGGTTTAAGCCCAGGATCAAGTGGCCCCAGGGAAGGCACAGGCGGGGGACTCATCCCTGCCTGTAAGCACAGGTCTCTGACTTGGAGTAGACTGGATCATCCCTAGAAGTCCAGACTCTACACGTTTAGTCTTTTTTAATGTGGATTGCTTTTTCAAACATTTTTGCTTTTAATTCAAACTTGGACAAATCACTTACACATATATCTTACCTAGAGAACATAGGCCCAGCATCAAGTCTCCTGGCCTGGGGCAAACAAGGAAGAAAACTCTCTTCTGTAATCAATAGAAAATTAAGTCTAACTGGATAAAGAATATGTGCTACATATACACCATGGAATACTAGGCAGTCATAAAAAGGAATGAGATCATGTCCTATGCAGGGATGTGGAGGGCGCTGGAGGCCATTATCCTCAGCAAACAAACGCAGGAACAGAAAAGCAAATACCACCTGTTCTGGCTTATAAGTGGGAACTAAATGATGTGAACACATGGACACATGGAAGGGAACAACACAGTGGGGCCTGTCGGAGGGTGGGGAGTGGGAGGAGGGAGAGCATCAGGAAGTATGGCCAATGGATCCCTAGGTGATGGGATGATGTGTGCTGCAAACCACTGTGGCACATGGCATAGGTTTACCTACGTAACAAACCTGCACATCCTGCACAGGCACCGCTGAACTTCAAAGTTGGAAATGTTTAAAAATCTTTTAAAAAGGGAAGGAAAAAAGCTTAATCCTAAGTCTAGAATGTGACATAGTTCAGATTAATTCTTTTCATCTTAAAAGAATCAACTTCTGCCTAAAAGAAGCAGAGTACCTCTAAGTATGTATCTTCCTTTTTTCAAGATTTAGCATGGAGGGCTGTTTGCAGAAAGAGACTACAAAATTCATGATATTTTAACTAAAATAAGGGTAAAAAGTTCATACCCACCCTATAAAGTGCGCATTCACAAGTGATGGACAGGGATAAAGATCTCAGGTAATTTGCCTGAAGTCACCCAAGTAATTAATAACAGGTCTTGGGTACAGAAGATAAGCTGGATTCTAGTCTAAACCACAAGGGCTACAATTCTACCACAAGTTGGGCTGACCCCGAGGCCCAAGCTGTGTCTCCACCCCACCCAAGTGCTAAAAATGCAACCCTTGTAAACCATGTCGCCACTCAGGAAAGTCATCTTACACATGGTAGAAAAAGGCAAGTGCTTTATATCAGTTTATTAAAACATGTATCGAGTGATGATTCTGTGCTAGACCTCTATGCTGGGCACTGAGCATAGAGAGCTGAAAGGCAAGTCTTTTTCTCGGGGCAATTACAATCTAGTGAGACAAATGGATGAAGAACCAATAATGAGAACTTAAGAAATACACGCTAGAGGGAACACTAACCAAGGCTGGGGAAGTTGAAATTGGAGCTGGATATCAAAAGAAGGAGGAAGCAGCCAGGTGGTAAAGGGACATTTTCAGAGAAGGAAGAAGGAGTTTGAGTCAGTGGGACCCTCCACAGAGCTCTCTGAGCTCCTGATAAATACCTATTGAATGAATGAATGAATTGAATGTATAAAAACAAATGAGTATTGTCCAAATCTGAGATATGCCAAAGTCTTGGTTCTTTAGCCTCTAGGGAGTCTGTCACTTGTGACAGAGGCTCAGGCGCATGTATACCTCCCCACACCTTCCCTGCCTTGCTTCTCCCAACAAAGCAGCTCACATTTGCTTTCATACTGGCTACACTGGGGTTTACCTTTGATGTGGCCACCCCTCAACAACACTAAATGAGCTCCTAGGAAGTGCTGAATCCTAGTGCTGAATCCCAGAGCACAGGCTCTGGGGCAGGCTGTGCTGGGTTCAAATCTCAGCACTGCCATTTAATGGCTGAGTGAGCTTGGGCAATGGGGTCAACAACAGTACCTGCCTCAGAGAGTGGTAGGGAGGAAAACATGAGGTGCCTTCTTCAAAGTGCTCAGCAGAGACTGACAAGGTTAAGACATAGGCCACTCAGGCAGGGAGCACAAAATCTAGCCCTAGACTAGACTGGCAATGCGTAGCCAGTTATCTCAGGTTTGCACACACTCAGAACTGGCACAATGCAAATCAGACACCTCTTCCAGACAAAACAGCAAACATGAGTGAAAAAATGGAAGACTCTCATCACTAGTGTGCTGAGACAACAGACAACAACAACTCTTGTCTGTTGAGGATTTGCACTGCACTCAGCCATAATACAGAGCTTTCTCCTGGAAATGTGGTTTATTTCATGATCCAAATGTTGATCCTTTAATCTGTTTCCTAAGAAGCTGCAAAGGAAAAGTGAAGTGAGGAAATGGAGTAGAGAAAAGGAGAGAATATTTTGCCCCATACTTTCAGGTCGTTGACTCTGTGTTGGCTGCTGGGTGTGAGTGACTAGAATCAACTCTTTCTCCTTTCCTATTTTTCTCCTTTCCTACTTTTTCTCCTTTCCTGTTTTGTGTGAAGAATCTAATCCAAGTTCTAAGTCTGAAAAAGGTGTATGAGTATATTAATAGCAATTTCATTTTCCTGACCTCCAATAAATACATGACAAGTAAATATTGCAGAATGATGACTAAAGGGTGCCAAATTATGAGCCTGCCCATATATTCCATGGCTCTCATAGGTGGGCTCTGTGTCAGATTCAGGAAAGGTTGAAATGACTGTGAGCTGCTATTGTAACCTTGGTAGTGGTGGTGGTGGCCACCTGCACAGAGTCATTCTTTGTTGTTAAAAGGAATAGGTCATAGCCCAGAGATGTAATTTTTCAGCCCATGTGGTTCAATGGAGAGAAATATAGCAGAGGCACAAAGTCAGATAGCTGCTCCTCAATAAGAAACCCCAACCACATTTCCAAAATGGAAAAGCTAAGCTGTTCTGAATCAGCTCTTTGCATGCATCTGATGTAGAACTTTCTTCCCCCAGCTCTGCAGTCACTGTACTTCTCAGCTGCATCAAGGTAGCCCCAGTGTTTGTCCCAATTGCTACAGAAACTATGATTTCAAATCCAGAAACTCCTGATGAATCTTAGGGCCTGGAATGAGGCTCTGATTAATTGAATTTTCCAGTTATTTGAGTACTAATCAGAAAATCCTTTGCCTTTCAGTTCCTGTGGCTGAGAATCTTCCAAGAAGTATGTTGGTTCCCTCTTCTCATTCTTCACAGCTCCATCACTGAGGAGTTGGGCAGCCTTTCACAGGTTACTTAATGTAATTGCTACAGATGATCGTGTAGCAAATTACCACAAATTTATCAGTTTAAAATAACATATATTGATTATTGTGCAATCTCCACATGTGCGCATGTACACACACACGCACACACATACAGACACAGACACATGCTTAACCAGAAATGGGGAACTAGTGGTACAGACAGGTTCCTAAGAGAGCCCAAAAGATGACTTCCTCGTCTCAGGGAATCAGAATAAGTAATATTTGAGCTGGGTCTAGGAGAGTAAGAAGGAGACCACCAAGGGTCATTATTACACACTTAGAATACTGACTGAAGTGAATTAAGATTTACTGCTCAAAAAACATGACAGAAAAACACTCAAAAGCAGCTTTTCTCACCTGGGTGGTCATCTGTAACATGAAAAACTTATCATCCTTATCCAAATATTAATTATTACACCAAAATTATAAGGTAGATATCAAAAGGGCAGTCATCCCTATAAGGCAAATTTGTACACTTCCTGGCAACGTGGATAGTGGTTCAGATTTCTAGCAGCTGCTGATGCCAAGCCTAGGCAGTAACTAAGCAAGGAACAGAAACCGAGGAAAAAAGAAAAGAAGGGGAAACCTAAGTTTTTGACTCACAAGACAGGTTCTGCTCCCACAGATATCCTTCTGAGAGCTCCCAGGCCCAGAGCTATCTAGAGGGAACATGAGACTATCCACTATCCACAATCCATCATTGCAAGACTGAATAAACAAAACGTGGTCTATGCATTCAGTGGAATATTACTCAGCCATAAAAAGGAATGAAGTACTGTCTTAGTTTGGGCTGTTATCACAAAATACCATAGACTAGGTGGCTTACAAACAATTGAAATTTATTTCTCACTGTTCTGGAGGCTGGAAATCCTAGACCAGGGTGCCAGTATGGTCAGGTTCTGGTTAGTAGCCTCTTCAGGATTTCAGACTGCTGACTTCTCACTATGCCCTCACATGGTGGAAAGAGGATGCCAGAGCTCTCTAGGGTCCCTTTTATAAGGGTACTAATCCCATTCATGAGGAGTCTGCCCTCATGCCTAATTGCATACCCAGGGCTCCATCTCCTAATACCATCACGTTGAAGGTTAGGATTCAACATATGAGTTTGGGGGTAACAGAAACATTCAGTCCATTGTAATTACTAGTACATGCTACAATGTGGATAAACCTGGAAATCATACTATTTTTTTAAAAGCCATTCAAAAAATAATACATGCTGTATTATTCCATTTACATGGAATATCCAAAGTAGGTAAATCCACAGAGGCAGAAAGCGGATTAGTGGTTGCCAGAGCCTGGGGATGAGGGAAATGGGGAATGACTTCTAATGGGTATGGAGGTCTCCTTTGGGGCTTATTAAAATGTTGTGAAACTAGATAGAGGTGTTTATTGTACAGCATTGTGAATGCACACAGTACCACTGATTGTACTCTTTAACATGGTCAATTTAATGTCAGGCAAATTTTGCCACAGTAAAAAAAATAAATAACCCCAAGTAGGAACCTTATTTCTAATGGTTGTCACAGGGCTTAGTTTACACCAATGTCACCTCCTCCAAAACAAATAACTATTTAATGAGCAAAGCCACACAAACAATATGATAGCCTGAGAAAAATCCTTGAGACTCCTCCAAAAAGCAACACTTCAGGTACACATAATAATTTGTAAAGTAACATAGTTTATCCTAATTCTGAAAGGCAATTAAACATATACATATGTATGTATATATGTACACATGTACATGAAATGGAAGTCACTTAATAGAAATATAAACCAAATAATAAGATCCAGTTAGATAAGAACTGCACACAGGTCTCCTTTAAATGGTAAAAGTGAAATTCAAAGTTTCCCATGGCTTGCAAATGCAAAGACAGACTCACAGAGCCTTTTGTGAATTTGGAAGTTGAAGGGAACTATCTGATCTCAGATGAAGATTAACCATTCAAAAGTTTATTTTGATTGTTTTAACTAAATTGCTCCATTTCTTTTAAGTAAAAAAAGAAGTGCCTTAAATTTATCCTTCAGTCTATTAAAAGGGGAATAAAAACTCTTAACTCCAAAACAGATAAGGGCGTTCTAGTGTCTGATCTTGATTGACAAGCTGTGGCTGTCTTAGCTGTTCACCATAAAACTCAACATGAAAATATGAAGTTTCTAAATGTCCTTTGCTCTCATTGAACGAATTAACTAAAAAATAATGGAATGCTATTGTCATTAAGTTCAAAGCCTACTCCAAAATCATCAAGTTCACTTATAATAGTCTACTGTACTAAGTGGCCTCTTAGCAATTCCTTCAGCAGAAATATTTAAGAATCCGAGTGAAAAATAAAATTCAACTTAATTAAAAGATTCTCCTTGCATTTTGATTATCAATATTGCCAATAAGAAGGTGCATTGGAGCCGGGCGCGGTGGCTCACGCCTGTAATCCCAGCACTTTGGGAGGCCGAGGCGGGCGGATCACGAGGTCAGGAGATCGAGACCATCCTGGCTAAAACGGTGAAACCCCGTCTCTACTAAAAATACAAAAAATTAGCCGGGTGTAGTGGCGGGCGCCTGTAGTCCCAGCTACTTGGGAGGCTGAGGCAGGAGAATGGCGTGAACCCGGGAGGCGGAGCTTGCAGTGAGCCGAGATCCCGCCACTGCACTCCAGCCTGGGCGACAGAGCGAGACTCCGTCTCAAAAAAAAAAAAAAAAAAAAAAAAAAGAAGGTGCATTGGAAACGTATCAAACCTGTTCCCCCAAAACATCCTTTTCCCAATTTCTGTAACAAGATGGTTTTATTGTGTCATGTTATAACAAGTCGGTCAAGAAAGTAAAAATCAGAGTTTAAAGAAAGGGCTCAGTGTGTCCAGAAGAGAGGTACTGAGAGGAAGACTCACTTTGGAGGCTGTAGCCTACAATTTTCAGATATTGCCTCACAGGTGAAAATATACTTGGAGTATCTTGGAGAGAAAAATACAAGAGAGTTGAAAGTTTTCCAAAGAAAAACACATCAAAGTTCAATGGGAGGCCCAGCTGTGGGCTGCTCCCCACGCCAGCCCGCGCCCCACATGGCTGCCGCCCCCGCCGGACCTGTGTAGCTGGCCATCGCCAAGTCGGCGCCGGCGGGCGAATGCGCAGCGAGCAGTTTCCCAGCAGGCTGGGCGGGCGGCCAACGTGGCTGGGCGTGGCTGGGCGTGGATGGGCGCGGCCGGGCTGCCGGGGCTCCGGCCCCCGGCCTGAGAGCTGTGCGACCGTCGCTCTTCTTCCGGCGGCAGGTGTACGCGTCGCTGCCCGGCCGCGAAGACGCCTTCCACCGCGGCATCTTCCTCTTCTGCTGCCACGAGCCGCCGTGCTGTGCCGCCCTGCGAGTTTCTAGGAATCAGCTACCCAGGAAAAATGATTTTTACTCATATGAGCCACCTTCTGAGAATCCTTCCCCAGAAACAGGAGAATCGGTGTATCTCCAACTTAAGTCTGGTGCTCATCTCTGCAGTGTTTGTGGCTGTTTAGGCCCCAAAACTTGCTCCAGATGCCACAAAGCGTATTACTGCAGCAAGGAGCATCAGACCCTAGACTGGAGATTGGGACATAAGCAGGCTTGTGCACAACCAGATCATTTGGACCTTACAACTCCAGACCACAACTTCCTTTTTCCAGAATTTGAAATTGTAATAGAAACAAGATGAGATTATGCCTGAGGTTGCGGAAAAGGAAGATTATTCAGATATTATAGGGAGCATGGTTAAGCAGTTTCAGGACTTCATTCATTAAGTGGTTAAACTTAATGCTTGGAAGAAAGGTCTCAATGTGTCTAGAAGAGAGGTACTGAGAGGAAGACTCACTTTGGAGGCTGGAGCCTACAATTTTCAAGGATTGCCTCAGGTGAAAATATACTTCCTGGACTTTGTTTCCTGACATATATCAGGTGTGTTCTGCTCCCTATAAAGACAAGAGGAGGCGGGTATCCAGATGGTCCCACGAGTAGGGCTACACAAGATGCTGGAGGCTTGGTAAGTTCCTCTGGGTCCCAGATCTTTTTCTCAGGTCGGGATAGTGTGAGTGCCTAGCACAGTGTCGGGCATGCAGAAGGGCCCCTTAAAAGTTTCTCTTTCATCTGGCCAGTTTTAGATACACAATTTTGTCAGTTTATCTGCAGTGCATACTCTTGGGTAGTGCCTGTGCTGACCAAGTATCTTAGAGGCTTATTTTATTATAGTAGCCAACATTTATCCAGCACTTAACCTTATATAAAGGGCTGTTTTTGCATGAGCTAATTAAAATCCTGAGAGTAGACCAGTAAGTCAGAAACTCTGCCCCGTTTTGAAGGTGAGGAAATTGAGGTTCTGGGTATAACTTGCTTTGGTCACATAATGTTAAGTTTTACAATTTGAGCCTTGAGCCATACACAAAGCCACCATAAACATTAGATTTATAGACTCAAAATGAAAACATCAGCTTACTGGTTTGTAGTTCATACCAGTCATACATTCCAAAACATGTTTGAGTCTTACTCTGTGCCTGACCTTGTGCTTGATAATATGGATATAATGGGAAGCAACCCTCCAGTGGTCATGCTCACAGTCTCATGGAGGACCCCAAATAATACTTATGGAAGATAAATTCCATGTAATGACTGATAAGAGTACAATACAGGTGTCATGGGAACATGTGACATTACTGAAGACTGCCTGGAAGGGGACACACATGTGTTCATACCAATAAGATGAAAAGGATAAAGAATGAAAATGCTTACCTTTAGGAGAAGGAAGAGCCTAGAGTAGGAGGGTCAAGGATGAAACCTGGACTTCAAATATGCCTTGTTTATGTAAATGTGACTTCGGAACTGTGTGAGTATTTTAAGATACTAAAATCAGTTTTAAAATAAGTTTTAAGAAGCAGTCCCTAATCATCAAAAGTAAAAAACTCTTGATGTAGTCATATACCCACACTAAGAACTCTTCTAGGTGACTTCAAAACATAGGGCAATACATCTCTAGTGGAATATACCCTGAGAATGAAAAGAACGTAACAGTGTTAGTATTTTCAATAAACATGTTATTACTAGACTGTTGCTGTTATTTTGAGATGGTTGTGTGTGTATTGGGGGATAAAGCAAATGAGTAATTATGTTGGTGTTACTGAGAACTGAGGTGTTGGGCATGGGAGGAAGATTTTGTTGATTGTGTCTACATACCATTCTCTCTAAAAGGAACTCCAGGCTCTTTGGAGAGGTCGTTGATTCCAGAACTGGGTCAGGAAATGTTCAAATAATGTGGGAACATGGTCACATCAACAAGGTCATATGAAAGATTAAGGAAGCTAGCAAGGATTACTAGGGCCATGTCAGAAGAACTCAAGCAACATGAAAAGGCTCCTGTTGGCAAAAGATAGACAGTTTGCACATCCTGCATCAGATATGTTTAACGAGTTCAAAATAATACTTAAAAGAACTCAGTAATCATCTTTGTAGGATACTTGGGAACAGATTCATTATTTTCAAATTGGTAAATAAAAGGAAAGAGTTTGCATTATAGGGGTACATAACTTAATTATGAATGAAGTGATATCTGTGGGATTTACTTCAGAGTAATCGAGTTGGAAGTGGCAGAGAAAGGAAACACTGGACTTGATAGTGTTGAAGCTGATTAATGGTACGTGGTGGTTCATTATAGTATTTCCACTTTTGTATATGTTCAAATTTTTCCAAAATAAAAGGAGAATTAAAGAAAAAAATTCAATGGGAAACAATCCTTTAACAGAAATTCACTTTATTGTAACCACTCTCAGAATCACATGGTCCATGATGATGAGATGTACCCTTAATATATGGGGCTCAGGCTTAGGAGGGAGCTGAGTGTTTTTAAGCAGAGTGGAAACAGCTGTCATGCAACTCAACATCGGCATCCTCACCAGTACCAAGTCCTTATCACGGGAGCTCAGGACTTACCAAACTCATATTTCTCCTAAAAGCTAATGTATCAGTCCATTCTGACATTGCTATAAGGAGCTACCCAAGACTGGGTAATTTATAAAGAAAAGAGGTGTAATTGGCTCATGATTCCACAGGCTGTACAGCAAGCATGGCTGGGGAGGTCTCAGGAAACTTACAATCATGGTGGAAGGTGAAAGGGAAGCAGGGATGGCCTACATGGCTGGAGCAGGAGAAAGAGAGAGAGAAGGGAGGTGCTACACACTTTCAAACAACCAGATCTCGCGAGAACTCACTCACTATCACAAGAACAGCAAGGGGAAAATCCACCCCACCATCCAATCTCCTCCCACCAGGTCCCTCCTCCAACACTGGGGATTACAATTCAATATGAGATTTAGACAGGGACACAAATCCAAACCACATCAGCTAACTAAAAAAACAACTGTTTCTAGGCCCTCTTCATAGCTTTTTTTTTCTTCATTATTTGCAATTCCAGAATTTGCTAATAAAGTAAGTGCAAATTTTGATCTGCAGTATTCGTGATTGGTCAGCAAATGTACGGAATTCCTATCTAACCTCCCACCTTGGAGTGGCTCTCTGGGAGGATAAAGGAAGGAAGGAAGGAGTATGGCTTGGAAGCCAACTGAAATTGAAGAACCCACAGAACCACTTTCAGTAAAGACCCTTTATTTCTGCCACTTGTTAATACTGTTTAGTAAATCCTATGCTGAATCCTATGTCTAGACTTGAAATCTGTATTTGTTTTGAAATACTTTCTTTTGCTCTCATCCCATTTGCTATTGGAAAAGAACAAGAAGTCTCAGCCTTCATGACTTCATAAGGAAGAGAACGTTATCTTACAAATTTCCACCCAATTAAAAATATAATTGTTTTTACAACTTTACTTTGGAGCACAAGCATAACTTTTTAAAACTGTATTCCACTTTTATGAAAAGTGGATTATTCTGGATTAAATCATACAATTCCTCTGCCTACCTGTGCTCACAGCATCATTATGGTAACCTTTTTCATCCATAGAGGACACACCCAGAACAGATGTCACCATTATCTAATGATTTCCTGCTAGAGAAAAACGAATGGGGTTAGCAAGTCATGTGGAACTCAACCTCACCTACATCAGAATTTAATGGCCCCATCAATCCAACAGTACTTGGTGAGTGGTCAATCTCTAAAGTCAATCAATTATGAAAAAAAATAGAGAGACTACCAGAAGATGTCTAACAGAATGGAAGGTCAAATTTCTCATCTAGTGCAGAGGGAGCACAAAGAACACTCCTCCCCCACTCACTTGTGTGATTATGGCAACAAATCTGGGATGGACAGCACAAAAGGAACTATCCCAGGTCACATGAGAAACCCGGATGTCATCATAGCACTGGTCATTTTTCACCACTAGACCAAGTATATTCCAAAACTCGCTCTGATGTACCACTCACTTCATGTGTCTGCAGAAGAGCAAGAATTATGTCAGAACTTCACAAACTCAAAACTTTGCTTTCATCAATGAAAAGCTGCAACTAGAAAAAACAAAATGGTGTGATATTCTGTCTGCTCTCCTAAGAAGCAGCCAAATTGCAATCCAAATCTCCTTTAATGGCATATACCCAGAGAAAATGCAAAATACCTCAGAGGTAGAATTATACAGAAACGAAAAATCCCTAATTCAAAATCCAGAAACAGTTCATCATTTTTAATTGCAGGAGAAAGATCAGTGGGAAGGATAAAAGCAAATTAGATTTGGGGAGCTTTCACGGCAATAACCACTGCAACCTTATCCTTTGATAGATAAGAAAACTCTAAAGGTAAGAAGTTTTCTGGTAGGTGTGAAGCTGAAGAAAGCCCCCAAACAATTTATGGTTTTGTGGCTTTGTCCTCAGACTGCCAAGGTAATTTTTCAGTTTTTAACCATTTTCCCCAGACATTAGCACTCTGCTGAGAACTGTGCCCATACACCAATGTCTCCAAAAGAAAAATTACATTTAGTGGGGATTCAACAGAAACACAAGCAACCACCCTTGTCTTCAAGAGCCTTCCATTCTCCTCCTGACACAGGCATTCTAATACAGCCTGTCTGTCCTCCCCATTTCCTACAAGCCTGCACATCCTCAAACAATTAGGCCCAGGGATAATCCCTTACAAACTGATATCTCTCCTTTAATCAGCACTTAACTTCCCAAATCCATTTGAAATTTTAATCTCTCTTCTTTTATCCACCGCTGTATTTTTTAGGCAATTTCTCTTCCCTATTTTTAGAATAAGAATTTAAAAATAACTCTGATTTTAATTATTTTTTAAAAATAATGCAAAAGTCAAATTCCTTTTGACTTTGGAACAGGGCCGTTTGCATTACTTACTTCTACATAGGAATGTTTATATTAAAGAACTACTGAGACTCATTTTCATAGCACAGTAGTGATACATGGCTTTGGTTGTCTTATTTGGCTTTTACCCAAAAAGGCATTTTTTTTAAAAAAGCTGGGCATGGTGGCTCATGCCTGTAATCTCAGCATTTTGGGAGGACAAGACAAGAAGACTGGTTGAGCCCAGGACTTCAAGCCTGCAGTGAGCTCTGATAGCACCACTGCACTCCAGCCTGGGTGACAGACTGAGACCCTGCCACTAAAAAACAAAAGAAAACAAAAGCCAGGCTTTCTTGTTTGTATGTCTGTGCCTGAGTGTTTGTTTCAATTTCAGCTGATATTGAAGGTAACAAAATAGGATTAAGAATTAAGTTTTGGCGTAATGTGGTGTGGCTCATGCCTGTAATCCCAGAACTTTGGGAGGCCAAGGTGTGAGGATTGCTTGAGCTCAGGAAATCAAGACCAGCATGGGCAATGCAGGGAGATCCTATCACTACAAAAAACAAACAAACAAACAAACAAACCAATTTAACTAGCCAGACATGGTGGCGAGAGCCTGTAGTCCCAGCTACTCAGGAGGCTGAGGTGGGAAAGTCCCTTGGGCCCATGAGTTGGAAGCTGCAGTGAGCTATGATTGTGCCACTGCACTCCAGCCTGGGTGACAGAGAGAGACCCTGTCTCAAAAAAAGAAAAAGAATTAAGTCTTGACTGCCTAGCAATCATCATAATTAATATCTCATCAGCAGAAAATATACCCCTGCTTTTCAGTTTAGGAGAAAGAAAACTTAAAAACTAGTGATACCCATAATAATTCACAGGCTCATCTAAGAAAATCAAATAGATCAACAGTTTCATTACATGTCAGGTGAACATCTTAACTAAGAACAACCAGTGGCCGGGCGCGATGGCTCACGCCTGTAATCCCAGCACTTTGGGAGGCTGAGGTGGGCAGATCACGAAATCAAGAGATTGAGACCATCCTGGCTAACATGGTGAAACCCCATCTCTACTAAAAATACAAAAATTAGCTGGACATGGTGGCGCATGCCTGTAGTCCCAGCTACTTGGGAGGCTGATGCAGGAGAATCGCTTGAACCGGGGAGGCAGAGGTTGCAGTGAGCCAAGATTGCACCACTGTCTGGTGACAGAGCGAGACTGCATCTCAAAAAA
This sequence comes from Homo sapiens, assembly GCF_000001405.40. Classification (NCBI taxonomy): domain Eukaryota; kingdom Metazoa; phylum Chordata; class Mammalia; order Primates; family Hominidae; genus Homo; species Homo sapiens. Next base: position 107,897,533 of record NC_000012.12, on the reverse strand, counting down.
CAAGCAAACAAACAAACAAAACAACAACAACCAGTAAAAATAAGGTCTACTTATATGATGTAAGGACTTGTTTCATAAGTGAAATCAAAATGTTTGCTAAAATCCTTCTCAGAATATAATTTCCACCCCACAGTCAATTAACAGTCCTCAACCTTTCAAGGAGACTATAAAGGCATGCTTCTCATTGTACTGCCAAGCTGGATCACACCTAGAAAGTGTACTTCGTAAGCCATACAAGAAATGTGTTGAGTGTTAGGAGGAAAAAATGTCGATAGGACAAGATGTTTATAGGGTAGTAACCCCAAGTAAGCACACTCAAAACACCAGAGCAAATATTACTACGTTTTCTTTAATTTTCCCTGGATATTTCCATCAACCTTATAAATAAAATAATTTTTTCATTTTCCTGTTAATTGAGAAGTTATCTGTTTAAAGATTCCAGCAAATAGACTCCTGTGATTTAGATTTCGGTTGATTCATACAAAAGGACACACCTCCTGCCAGGAACACATAGAGGATAAGCCCTGCTAGTAGGAGAATCCTGTATGGCCCGTTTGCTGAGACCATTCCAGGGCATCAGTTACTCAAGTGCACAGTAGACCAAGAGTATTCCCTCAGCTAGAAGCAACTGCAGAATTATGAGATCCACATGGCAGCGCTGCTGACCTTAACCTTCATCTCTTGGTCAAGGTCGTGTGTGCCAGCCTGCTCCACCTTAAAGTGACTCTCTTCCTTCTCTATACTCGGTTCTTTGGAGCTATGTCACCAAGTCTAGCACATCTCAGTATGGGTGAATGAATTTAGATCCGCCTCCTGAAGGTCAGTCACAGGCAGTGACACTTCCCTGTCATTCAGAGCATCAAAGAATGAGGAGCAAGAAGAGTCTGGGTCACTCTCCTTGGGAGGAGGACATGTCCACATTTATGCATAAACCTCCACATTGTGTATATAGGAGGAAGAAGAACCTCCATTATACATAGTGGTATATGGTGAGATATATAGTAAGGTATAATAATATATATAATAATATGCATATTGGTATACAGTGATATGTAGTGAGATATGTGATGGTATGTATGGATATAGTGATATATATTGTGATATATAATGAGACGTATAGTGATGTATAATAATGCATATGGTGAGATACATAGTGGTATACAATGATATATAGTGAGACATAGAGTGATATGTAGGGATATTGTGACATATAGTGAGATATGGTGAGATGTATAGAGATGTATAATAATATATAGTGATACATATAGTGGTATGCAGATATATAATGATATATATTGTGATATGTAGCAGTATCATGATATATGTCATGATATACACTGATAGATATTGTGGTATATAGTGATATGTAATGATATTTATAGTGGTATACATAGTGGTATACAATAATGATATGTAGTGAGTTATATAGTGATATGTAGGAATATATAGTGAGATACATAGTGATGTATAATAATATACAGTCATAGACATAGTGGTATATGGTGATATGTAGTGAGATATATAGTGATATGTAGGAATATATAGTAATATATATTATATAGTGAGATATGCAGTGATTTATAATAGTATATAGTGATATACATAGTGGTATACAGTGACATATAGTGAGATACATAGTGATATGTAGGGATATAAAGTGACATAAACTGATACAGATTGTGTTATATAGTTGTGATGGTTAATATTGAGTGTCAACTTGATTGAAGGGTGCAAGTATCATTCCTGAGTGTGTCTGTGAGGGTGCTGCCAAAGGAGATTAACATTTGAGTCAGTGGACTGGGAAAGACAGACCCACCCTCAACCTGGGTGGGTGCAATCTAATTAGCTGCCCATGTGGCCAGGATAAAAGCAGGCAGAACATGGAAGGACTAGACTGGCTTAGTCTTCTAGCCTTCATCTTTCCCCCATGCTGGACGCTTCCTGCCCTCGATCATCAGACTCCAAATTATTCAGCTTTTGGACTCTTGGACTTACACCAGTGGTTTGCCAGGGGCCCTCAGACCTTCAATCACACACTGAAGGGTGCACTATCGGCTTCCCTACTTTTGAGGTCTTGGGACTCAAACTGGCTTCCTGGCTCCTCAGCTTGCAGACAGCCTACTGTGGGACTTTACCTTGTGATCGTGTGAGTCGATACTCCTTAATATAAACTCTCCTTTATATATACATCTATCCTATTAAGTCTGTCCCTCTAGAGAACCCTGATTAATACAATAGTGATATATATAGTGATGTATAGTTATATATATAGTGATATATATAGTGGTATATAATGGTATGTAGAGAGATACATAGTGATAAGTCAGGATATATAGCCATCTGTATTGTGATATATATTGTAATGTATATTGTGATATATAGTGATATAGTGATACATAATGATAGATATTGTGATATATAGAGATATATAGTGACGTATATAATGGCATGATTCAGGATTTGTCACTGGAAAAGTATGAAAGTTTTTCAGTGTTTCTAAGAACAAAGACAAGAGAAAATGCAAACAAGATATACCAAGAGATGTTCAGGCTCAGGCCTCATGGGAGCTAGGATTGGAGAGGGTTCCAAAGCTCATCCATTCCAGGCCCTTCATGTTTCAGCCTGGAGACGTGTAACTCCTCCAAAGATAAAGACTTCTGAGAAAGACACAGTGACCTGGAACCTCAAAGTACCGGGCAGCTCAACTGTTCAGCCCATAAACTTCCATACTCTTCCAATGATAAATCCTGACTCATCCATATAATTCAGCTATCTGGCTGAACTGCAACCACATCAACGGCACTGGAGGACATTATCTTAAGGGAAATAAACTGGGCACAGAAAGACAAACTTCACATGTTTTCACTCATTTGTGGGAGCTGAAAATTAAAACAATTGAACTTATGGAGATAGACTAGATTGATGGTTACCAGAGGCTGGGAAGGCTAGTCACAGGGAGGGGGAAGTGGAGATGGTTGACTGGTACAAAAATATAGTTAAAATGAATAAAATCTAGTATTTGATAGGACAACAGAGTGACTATGGTCAACAATAATTTACTGTAAATTTTTAAGTAACTTAAAGAGTATAATTGGAATGCTACTAACACAAAGAAAGGGTAAATGCTTGAGGCGATTGATACCCTATTTACCCTGATGTGATTCTTATGCGTTGCATGCCTGTATCAAAATATTTCATGTACCCCATAAATATATACATCTACTATGTATCCACAAAAACTAAACATTTAAAAATTAAAATTAAAAAGATCATTTGAAGATGAAAAGATTATTAAAAAGAAAAGAAAAAGAAAGAAATAATTTTGTGAGCATCTGTTAATGTGGCAGTGCTAGTTTCAGAACTAAGGACCCAGCAGTGAATGAGACCCACATTCCCCTCCTTGGAATCTACAGTGAGTGGGGATCTAGGCACTAAGTAAAGACTTGAGCGAATCAATGCTGACTGGCAGCTAAACTGCGGGGTTGGAAAGAGGGTGGTGTGGGAAGGAGCTGAACAAAGGAATCCAACTTGCAGAGGAAAGAAAAGGACAGAACGTGTGAATGAATGGGTTGGAAAGGGGAGAGCTGCCAGTTGAGAAAGCCAGGACCCCGTAGACCAGAAAGGAGTCTGCATTTGGTTCCACAGTACTGGTAGCGAGGGTGGGTTCCACATGTTTAGACAAAATCAGATGGAGGCACTGCAGGGCGGTCAAGGCAAGTGTTCAAGAAGCCATGCATGGGCCGGGCACGGTGGCTCATGCCTGTAATCCCAGCACTTTGGGAGGCCGAGGCGGGCGGATCATGAGGTCAGGAGATCGAGACCATCCTGGCTAACCCGGTGAAACCCCATCTCTACTAAAAATACAAAAAAAATAGCCGGGCATGGTGGCAGGTGCCTGTAGTTCCAGCTACTCGGGAGGCTGAGGCAGGAGAATGGCATGAACCCGGGAGGCGGAGCTTGCAGTGAGCCGAGATCATGCCACTGCACTCCAGCCTGGGCGACAGAGCAAGACTCCTTCTCAAAAAAAAAAAAAAAAAAAGAAGCCATGCATGGAAATGGGCCCTACGTGCAGACACCTCACAACCCAGGGAGACCACATCTGCTTACTGGGACATCCTCCTGACTGTGCTCTTTCCAAGCCACCTGCAGAGAATGCATGGTCCCTGGACAACCTCACAGTCCCCGCCTGGCCTGATGGCCAGCTCCTCCAGCCCTCCCAATAAGGACACTGCACACTCCAGGCTTCCCGTTCATAGTGGCATGTTGACTGCTCCTGTGTGTGTGCCTATTAGCTGCATCTCACCTGCACCCTGGAAGGTTGTTTCCTGCAGCCCAGGGAGTGTGGACCAGATCTGGCCCTGGAAACCCATAAAGCTTCTTCCCATCCAGTGGGCTCCAACCACACCCTCTCCTGTGAAGTCTGAAGCCCATCCTTGGGGAGAGAGCCCTCTAAGAGTGTTTCCTTCCTTGGGTACTCTCCCTGCAGTTCTCTTTACATCTTATGGTTACTCTCCTATCATAGCTTAATCATTCTTTATATTATGCATGCCCTATTTAAAACACCTTGTAGCTTATGTCTTCTGGATGATCCAAACTGGTACTTGATCTTCATGTTGATTCTCTGTGATTTTCTGCAAATAGTTTATATTAGTTGTATGATTTATTTGAAAATCATGGCCGGGCGTGGTGGCTCACACCTGTAATCCCAGCACTTTGGGAGGCCAAGGCGGGCGGATCACGAGGTCAGGAGATCGAGACCATCCTGGTTAACATGCTGAAACCCTGTCTCTAATAAAAATACAAAAAATTAGCTGGGCGTGGTGGCAGGTGCCTGTACTCCTAGCTACTCAGGAGGCTGAGGCAGAAGAATGGCGTGAACCCAGGAGGTGGAGCTTGCGGTGAGCCGAGATCACGCCACTGTACTCCAGCCTGGGTGACAGAGCAAGACTCCGTCTCAAAAAGAAAAAAAAGAAAAAAAAAAAAAGAAAATCACATTCGAATATCACCTCCTCCCTCAAGTATTGCCTTATTTCCCAAGATTGGCTAGTTATTTCCTCCTTTTTGTTCCTTTTAGTGTACTTTTGTAGAGGCTAATAATAATCATAAGATAGGTTATGGAAATAATTACAATATCTACTCAGAACGGAATGCTTTTTTATGGCCCAAGTACTGTGCTGTTACAGCAACACTATTGTGTCATCCTTTCATTGACCCTCTGAAAGAGATACAATTATTCTCCCTATTTAGTAGATGAGGAAATTAGGGCTGTGATTGGTGCAAAGTCATCCATACAGCAAGTGTCAGAGCCTGAATCAACATGAAGTTGTCTGACCCCAGAGCCTGTGTGCGTAGCCATAGCAGATGCTGCCTCCTGTTGGTCATTTGTCATTAATCTATGCATGCATTTCTTTTGGCTGTCCCTTCATCAAAGGATTCGCAAGGGCACAGGGATGCTTTTGTCCACCTTTAGTGGATTCTGACCAAGAGTTTTCCAAATGAAATGCCCATCTGATGCTCACGCCAGCCATGGACAAGAGATTGGTTGTTCCCCAGCCTCTCCATCAATTGGTATTTTCTGACTTTTAAATTTTAGCCATGCTTGGAGATGTGTAAAAAGCACATGGAAAGTCCAGATGCTTTGGGGAAGCACACAGATTCTGAGAGTCTGGAGGCAACACAAAGAACAAACTGATTGTCTTAGCTCATTCACGCTGCTTTAACAAGAGACCATATAGTTAGTGGCTTATAAACAACAAAAACGTATTTCTCATAGTTCCGGAGGCTGGGAAGTCCAAGATCAAGGCACTGACAGATTTAGTGTCCAGTGAGGACATCTATGAACCGAGAAGCTTGTTAGGTATGGTGCCTTCTCTTTGTGTCCTCACATAGGGGAAGGGGTGAGAGAGCTCTCTGGGGTCTTTTTTATAAGGGCACTAATCCCATTCATAAGATGACCCTTATGATCCAATCACCTACCAAAGGCCCCTCCTCCTAAAACCATCACACGGGAGGGAGGCTTTCAACGTATAAATTTTGGGGGGACACAAACATTCAGTCTATAGCCCTGTGTCTTCTATAATCTTTTTCCACTGGCATATACTAAAACTATAAAATTTATGGTTTTATCATTACAGTATAGTAATTTTTTTGTTAATTAAAAGACATAAGCAAAGTTTGGTTTTGTTGTTACATAGAATAATTAGTTTTAGGGGAAAAAGAAAAGAGCTCCAGGTCACTGTCCATTTATAATGTGCAGATCTCCTGACTGGAACCTACTGAGGGTTGGGGTGGGGAGGCAAAGTCACCTCTGCCACCCCTGTGTCATCAGACCTTCTGCTTTTCTCAGGGTCCAGGTGCATGGGACTCTGCCTTTACATCCTGGAGGCCTAGAGACCTCCCCTTTCCACCGCATCTGTTTCACTAGTCAAGTGAATGCCTGGGCTAATTTGCTCCTATAGGACATTTATAGACACTCTCTGCTGAAAACAACAGCCTCAGTGGAGAGCAGCAGACAGCCCTCAGTGTCCTGTGGACCTGACTTGAATCAATATTCTCTGTGTTCTTTTAATATGCAGAATCTCCTAGTAAAGGTGAACTCAATTAATGAATGACATACAGAGTTTCATTTTATTTTGTTTTTATTGATGCATAATGTACATAGTTTCAGAGTACATGTGATAATTTCACACATTCATATAATTTGTAAACATCGATCAGTATACTTGGGATATCCATCACCTTAAATATTTGTCTTTTCTTTATACTAGAACCATTTGAATTCTCTCTTCCAGCTATTTTTAAATGTATAATAGACTATCGCAAACTATAGTCACTCTATTGATCTATCTAATACTAGGTCTTATTTCTTCTGTAAAACCATGTTATTTGTTTATAGCCAATAATTACTGAGCCCACAACGGGGCTTTTTTTCCTGTTGCCTCTGTTCCATGTGCAACTGTCAACATATGGTTCACTCGCGGGGCCAAAACAGAGCTCACTGGGAAAACTCTTGGTCTAAATAACTTTATGGATGAATGAGAATTAAGCCATGGGCCTGTCCAGCTTTTCCTTTCCAGACAGAGAAAAAGAAGCTTTGAATGCTCTAGGGAAGGCCAAACCAGAGGCAAGAATAACAAATTCTTGACTTTTCTGTGGATACAGAGAAAATATGTGAGACTAGATATAAACAGGGTGTTATATAAATTAGGCAAAAATGGGCCCTGTATTGTACATCCAATGGAATAAAACTAGAAATCAACAGCAGAAGGAAAAATGGAAAATTCACAAATATGTGGAAATTAACACATTCTAAAGTGACTAATGGGCCAAAAAAGAATTTATAAGAAAAATTAGGCTGGACATGGTGGCTCACACCTGTAATCCCAGTACTTTGGGAGGCTGAGGAGGGCGGATCACGAGGTCAAGACATCAAGACCCTCCTGGCCAACATGGTGAAACCCCATCTCTACTAAAAATACAAAAAGTAGCCAGGTGTGGTGGTGCACACCTGTAGTCCCAGCTACTCAGGAGGCTGAGGCAGGAGAATCGCTTGAACCCAGGAGGCGGAGGTTGCAGTGAGCCAAGATCATACCACTGCACTCCAGCCTGGCAACAGAGTGAGACTCCGTCTCAAAAAAAAACAAAAAACAAAAAACAAAAGATATGGGATCCATCACTAAGGTAACAACAAGTAATGTTTGTAATGCCAGTATCCAGCAAAATCCCTGCTTTATGTAACCAGGGATTCACCCACAGTGCATTCAGAAGCACAGTGCTGGCTGAGAAGCACCTTCCCTTTCTCAAACTCAGTGTCCAGAATTCAAGTTCTGTAGACAGTTTGATCTCTCCTCGCTGGTGAACAGATTCTTTGCAAGCTCCTAGGTCTGATTCTGTGCTTGTTCCCAAATCTTCCTCCTAATAATAGCAACTGGAAGTGAACTGAGGGGAGCCCAAACTCTGAAGGTAAATCTCAGCATGTTCTTTCAGCTTCTGTTCCATATGCCCACATTGGACACTCTGCAGGTCATCAGAAATGACAAGGAGCTCATCAGCTGTGTCAACATCCAAGGTCATATCTACTGTGAAAGAAAAAAATCAGCCTCTCAGCAAGTGGGCAGTACACGTATTGCATTCAAACCCAATGCAGCCACCATTAATTCTATGACACATTGTAATAGACACTAGGAACAGAGAGAGATGCAGGAAGACTTAGCACATTCGAATGAGTCTGCGTTCAGGAATCTGGTAGGTATAGGCTGGCATGCTGACTTTAGCACATTACACAGGCAGCTGAGTTATGATAATTCACTTTAAATATACACATTCCACCAAATTGGGTTACAAAAATTACTCCGAGTTAAGTTGCGATATTGAATCGAGCATTATTTCCTTTAGTGCCTGCTACATGTGGTTAGCACATGATGTAGTGCTCTGGGCCAGAATTCACAACCAAATCTATATGTACAGGATCAATAACCACATGCACTTTTATCACTGTTTGCTGAGAGGCATTAGCCCTGGAATAAATTCATTGATCATAATGGTTGCCAAGACTCATTGTGGGTTGTTACAAATCACCAGACTGCTTCTAAATATTGCAGTCATGAGCCTCACAGCCAGAGAGAAGCTCAGATGCAGCTGATACCAGGCCCTTGCTATTCGGTGTGTGTGGGAACCAGCTGCAACAGCATCATCTGGGCACCTGGGAGAGAAATCTAGATTTGCAGACCAGCCTAGAGCTGCAGGATCAGAATCTGCATTTTAACAAGTCCCCCAGGTAATCTAATGCATAAAAGTTTGAAAAGCCATGATACAGCATAGTGTTCCCAATAGAAACATAATGCCAGCCACATGTGTAATATTAAAGTTTCTAGTAGCCACATTATCAAACATAAAAAGAAACAGGTGAATTAATTTTAATAATATTTTTATTTAACTTGATCAAACATATTCTCTTTCCATATGTGGCTGTAACCACATTTCAAGTTCTTAATGGTTACAGTGGCTATCATGTTGGACAGCACAGGTATAGGGCATGACCTAAACATTACGCATCCTTCAAAAAATCCAGGTGGTTCTAACCCATACTCAGGAGAGAGAACTAGTGTTGCTTAAAGAGCATAAGAACATTAGGTGCCAACATTTGGCGGGGCACGGTGGTTCACGCCTGTAATCCCAGCGCTTTGGGAGGCCAAGGCAGGCGGATCACAAGGTCAGGAGTTTGAGACCAGCCTGGCCAATATGGTGAAACCCTGTCTCTACTAAAAATACAAAAATTAGCCGGGAGTGGTGGCAGACACCTGTAGTCCCAGCTACTCGGGAGGCTGAGGCAAGAGAATCACTTGAACCTGGGAGGTGGAGGTTGTAGTGAGCCGAGATCGAGATCAGGCCACTTCACTCCAGCCTGGGAGACAGAGCGATACTCTGTCTCAAAAAAAAAAAAAAAAAATTAGGTGCCAAAATTCAGCTGACTCCTATATTTAATGGAGAGCATTTTTCACCGTTGGCTTTTCTGGGGCCTTCATGGGGAGGGCTCCAGATACCTAACCTTGGAACTTCGGCATCCTTGAGTTCAGGCATAGAATAGCTTTCAGCTGGGCTCCAGTTCTTTGATCTTGGAAATCAGCTTCCCCAGGTGGCAATTTGTCTTAATCTCATTCTTTTGAGAAACTATTGAGCAGAAAGTGCACAATAAACTCTCCTTTTGGGGTTCTGTCTTCAGTAAGTTGAAGCAGTGGGGGCAGCAGATGTAGCCACATTACAAGATGGATAGGACATCTGCTTGCTTCTTGAAAGTGTGCAGCCTTTGCTGCTGCTGCTAGGGTGAAACATACATAATAGTAATGGAGATCCAGGAGATGAAAGAACAGGGGCTATTTCATCTTCACATGCATAGAGATATCATGTACCATCCCTAGCACAAGGCAAAGGCTAAGGAATCTCTCTTTCATATATATATATAAACATATGCGAATGGCCCTGGTCTTCTGAATTTGAAATTCTAGTTGAAATAAAGGGTGTGATCTGTCACTTGGCTTAGAGTTGAGATTGTGAAAGGGAATGGAACTGGACTGTCTAATATAGGAGCTGCCAACCACATGTGGCTCTTGTCACCTGCAATGAGGCTTATCTACAGTGAGACATGCTTTGAGTGTGAAATCTGCCCAGGATTTTGAAGACATTATCAGAAAAATGTTTCATTAATAAGGTGAAAATTGATTTACATGTTAAAAATTATAATCCTTTGGATATTAAAATTAATTTATCTTGTTTCTTGTTACATTTTTTAACTTGGCTATCAGGAAATACATAGCTACATATATGAATTACATTATTTTGTCTGAGACATCCCTAGCCTAGACCCAGAGCCCCTCCAACTCTTCATCTGGTCCCACCTGGCTGGGCACAGACCCATAGCAGCAGCTGAAGGGTTAAGTCAATGGGGGAAACTCAAGTTATCATCTCCTAGAGTAGCCCAAGCTATGATTTGATTGAAAGAATCTGTCAGACTCCCAGCCTGTGTATTGAGAATCTAGTCCTGCCTTCAGCTTCTGGGCAGAGGATCCCGTGTCCCTAAGTGCTCCCACTGTGCCTGGCATTGAGTTGGCCTCAGATCATACTTGCAGCATTAATTACTTCATTCCCTGGATGTTGCTCTCTTATATTTGTCTTTTGTAGAAAGCTGAGAAGTGAGAAAGGAATAACACTGGACTCACTTCCACAAGATGCTTCTCTTGCTCCAGCTGCTTCTGAAATGAGCTGAGATGTGGAGTGGGACCCACCTATAAGGGGCTTTTTTATAGAAAGTCCTCCCTCCCACTTTATCCACATCCTGCCCCTTCTCTTTAACTCAATCAGTTATTGATTTAAATCTGGAATCAATGAGTTTTTTACTGAAGATATAGAGAAGCACCACGTGCAAAGGACAGCAATTTATCCTGCAAGTGGTTGTATTTTGATTAATATAGACATACCCTTTTTTCTGGATTAGCTTTTGAATATCATGTTTGCATATGACAAAATTTGGAATTTGGCCAGAAAACTTTCAAAGCCAAATATGAGGCATCACTATTAGCCCTTATGCAATGAATGGAGCTAGTTTCAAGTACTTTTTACTCACAAAGTAAAACCACCTCATATTTATTTAATTTATTTATTTTGTTAATTAGAGACAGAAATCTCACTATGCTGCCCAAGCTGGTCTCCAAATCCTGACCTCAAGTGATCCTCTTGCCTTGGCCTCCCAAAGTACTGGGATTACAGGCATGAGCTACTATGCCCAGCCTTCATATTTATTTTAGACCAAGGAAATTAATTCAACCTAATCTTAAGTCTTTCCTAAAGTCACCCTCACTAGACCATGGTTTCTTCAAATGGGCTTTTTCTTTATGCTTCTTATTTATTTATTTATTTATTTATTTATTTTTTGAGATGGAGTCTCACTCTGTCGCCCAGGCTGGAGAGCAATGGCGTGATCTCGGCTCACTGCAACATCCGCTTCCTTGGTTCAAGCAATTCCCCTGCCTCAGCCTCCTGAGTAGCTGGGACTACAGACACCCACCACCATGCCCGGCCAATTTTTGTATTTTTAGTAAAGACGGGGTTTCACCATGTTGGCCAGGCTGGTCTCGAACTCCTGACCTCATGATCCGCCCGCCTCAGCCTCCCAAAGTGCTGGGATTAAGATCTGTGTTTAGAAGTTTGATTTTAAAACAAACAGGAATAATAGCCCCAGATAATCAGGCTTTTCAAGTTTCTGGCGTTTTTTTTTCCTTTCCCTTTGTTAGTAACCATGTCAAAAGTAAAAGATATTTTTATAATCTTACTATTTTCCTTATATCACAAACTACATGAAATGAGATGGCTCTCTTTATTAAAATATAATTCAATAAAAGGTTTCCCTGTGGTTTTAGATCATTCAGTGGTGGGAGAGTTGAGAATGGGAGAATGAAAAACTGGGACTCAAGGGGCTGGGCTGGGGAAGAAATTAGATTATATATTTCACTGCTTGGATCTGGCCTGAGGGTGAGATGTCACAGCCTGGGCTGCTATCTGGATGCTGGGAGGGTCTCAGGGAGTGTTTCTGACCGGGGCATCTTTGTCCAGAGGAGAAGTTGACAAATGCCCACCCACAGGGCTTTTCTGTTGAACTGCATGGAGCAAAAGGAGCTCCTTGGTGTTCATCCAGTTTGCCATGTGGGGAACCCAGCAATGAGGGGATTTGAGGGAGCCTTTCTCGGGCAGTTTGTTCTAACAACCAGAAGATGGCGCCCGAGATTGAGGTCCGGTGCCCGGTCTGCCCTCAAGGAATATTCAATATAGACCATATTCTGGGCCATAAAACACACCTTCACATATTGAAAAGAATATAAATCATACAAAGGATGATTTCAGATCACAATAGATCAGAATAGCCATCTCTAGCAGAAAGACAGAAAATTTCAAAAATATTAAACAACACTCTTCTCTGAAAATGTTTAGAGATTTAGTAACACATGGGTCAAAGAAGTCGCAAGAGAAATTAAAGAATATTTGAGGCAGGATGTGGTGGCTGGCACCTATAACCTCAACTACTAGGGAGGCTGAGGTGGGAGAATAGCTTGACACTGGGAGTTCCAGACCAGCCTGGGCAACATAGTGAGACCCTGTCTCTAAAAAAAATTAATTAATTAATTAATAATAAATTTTATTTTTAAAACTTGGGTTTTACCAAAAATTTCACTTTTGCTTGGCTTCTTCCTTTTCCTCCTGCTCCTACCTTTCCCTCCACTAGTTTTTCTGAAACTTCATGAATTCTGGAGTCAGAGTCTGGGAAACTTACCTATGCCAGTCAGGACAGGTATACATATACTGGGATCTTCCTGATTCTGCTGAAAGTGTACTTTTCAGTCATAGAATATTGCATATATCCCCAGCACATTCACGTGGCTGGGAGGCAGGGCCTTTTCTAAGTCAGCTCACAATGCTGACACCTCAGACCCTTGACCATCTTCAATGATTCTTAAAAATGGGATATAAGGCCAGGAGCAGTGGCTCACACCTGTAATCCCAACATTTGGGGAGGTCAAGGTGGGCAGATTGCTTGAACCCAGGAGTTTGAGACCAGCGTGGGGAACATGGTGAAACCCCATTTCTATTTAAAAAAAAAAAAAGGAGAAATTAGCTGGGCATGATGGTGCACACCTGTAGTCCCAGCTGGGGCTAGAGGGAGGCGGAGGTGGAAGGATCACCTGCACCTGGGGAGGTCAAGGCTGCAGTTAGCTGACATCACACCACTGCACTCCAGCCTGGGTGACAGAGTGAGGCTCTTAAAAAAAAAGTATGTAAAGGTTGCCAATGGTTTAAAATGCAAAGAACACTTGAAAAGCCAGCACTAGTTTCAGTAGATCCCTCCTGCAGGGAACTGACTTGTGATAAGAGCATGACTGCCTGGCCCCCAGCATGCATCTCCAGAGTGACCAGAGCTGTGCCAGCCAGAGGAGCACAGCACTGAGGACCCCACAGGGATAACGGAAGGAGGAAGGATCGGCTGATCAGAGTCAGGTATTACCAGGAGTGCACTCGAGACAAAGCAGTACATTCTACAGTGGGGGAATTACCATTGTTAATGTAGACAATCTCATGTCCAAGACAATGTTAGCTACACGGAGCTGTGGTGGTGGAAAGTTGTTCAGTGCTGGATAAGACACAGGTATTTATCCACATTTGTTTTGTTCAAATACACACACAAACCCCTGCCCACCCCCCCACCCACACATTGCACTATGAATAAAAAGTGTTGCACCCCTATTATTTAGAAACTCACATAATCCATTTGGTTACAGCCAAATATTTATTTAACTTATAAACTCCATAATACATAAAGCCGAACTTACAGAAATAAAAGGTAAAGCATTTGGAAATTAAGAATACAAAACATATCATTAGGAAACAAAATATAAACACAAAACTCAACACGTTTGATGGTGACAATAATCAATATTTAAAACTCAGCTTCTATTCTAATGAATCTATGAAGTTAACTACATCATGGAATGGTCTATATTTTTCTGCTATGATTTTGTAAAATATGTATACCCAACAGAAACTTCCTAGGTCTACCCACCAAGTAATTTAATTTCCCGATCCTGTTTCTATGCAGTGGGGGTTTATTTGCCCTCCCCAGGATGGACTAGAGGATGGGCAGTGCCTGGATTTATCACAGGACAGACACTCAGGATACCCTGCTCTGGGAGAGTGGAAGGAGCAAAATATGGGCGCAGTGGCTCTTCAGGAAAAACTTTCGTGAATGTATAGATGTGGGATCCATCTCCAAGGTGGTAAAAGGAGATGTCTCCCATGCCTCTATCCAAAAATATCCCCACTCGCTCTAAATTGGGGTTCACCCAGAGGGGTGTTGGAGGGCTTGTGTTAGCAAAGTGGAAGCCCCCAGCCATCAAACTCACAATCCAGAATCCATCCTCTGTGGTCATTTGGATGTTCCCTTTGCGGTTGGCAGATTCTCTGCAGACTCCCAGATTCCATTATTTGCTTGTTCCTAGGTCCACCTCCCAGTAGTGGCGGCCAGAGGTGAAACCAGGGGAGCCCAGGACAGCACCTGCGAAGTTGAATCTCTCAGCACTGTTTGGCCGATTCTGATGGATCCTCCCACATCGGACGCTCCTGAGGTCTTCAGAAATGAGGAGGAGGTTGTGAGCCATGTCAACATCCAAGGTCACCTCCACTGCGAAAACAAAAACAAGTAGCTCAGCAAATGCACAGAAGCCAAGCCCATTTCACTCCTCTACTGCAAAGTCCCAAATATCTCATTGACTTTGGTTTCTGTCAATCTGCTTTTTTTCCTGAAGTCAGAGCTTTTCTCGAGGCAACTTCTCTGAATAGTTGAAATTCTCAGATATACTTGTTGTAATATGTGGCTCTTATTCATAGTAGAAGTTTTTATTTTACATTATGTCATGTGTTTGTTTATGTCATGTATTTCTTCTGCTTAAAGGGGAGGGTCTCAAGACAGACACCATGACCCTCTTTCTACAATACTGATGAGTGAAAAATGACTGATAGTTAAGACAATGCAAGTTAGCAATATTAAATGATATGTTTCTTTTTTCACATTTTATTGGTCCAATTTAAATAGTGTCTAGGGCATGAATCCAGGCTTTTGTTCTCCGTATTTGTAACCAATTAATTTTGTTCAGTTTTGACAGGAGACGGGATATCTCTGCAGCTGATAATGTGATGACAGAGGTCCCATGCCTGGACTTAAGAGAATCTAAGGCCAAGAGGAAGATAAGGACCTAGACGGAAGGATGCTCTTCATCCTATGGGGAAGTTGAGGCCTTAAGCAAGACAATATTAATGGGCTTAAATTTAAGAGATGAGATAAAAGGTATTTAAAAATTATTAGAATGAGCATTTTACAACATTGTGTATGCGGTTGAAAAGCGAAGTCACCAACTTTAGTGGAAGAGGAAGAAAGGAAGGGGTGGGATCTGGCCTAGGAAAATTTATTGTCTAGACCATTCTGGAAAAAAAAATCTATAGAACCTGTTATCCTTCAAGTCCAATGTACATTATTTGAATGATGGATACCTTAAAAGCCCTCACTTGACCACTGTGTAATCAATGCATGTAACCAAATTGCACATGTATCTCATAAATGTGTACACATTTCTTTTAAGTTTTGAGAATCCCTTGTCTAAGCCACGACATAGACACGGGTATATTTTGCTGGAGATCAAAAAATAAAACCAGGTGTTTCTACATGTTGTCAGGGCTGAGAATCACTGATGCCAGAGGAACATTTCAGTTTCAGGTGCCAGACATCAGCTAATTACCCTATGGTACGGAGAGCCAATTGCACGAATACTTTTTCCTCTTTTGGTAGTGGGAAGGGGCAGGGTATACAGATTCCTTACCTTGGAACTTCCGCATCCTTGGGTTCATCTTCAGAATCTTTTTCAGCTTGGGCTCCAGTTCCTTAATGTGCGAAACCAGCCTCCCCAGCTGCCGATTGAGCCTGATGTTGTTTTTCTGAGAAGCCTCCAGGCAGAAGGGACACAAGACACCTTCCCCTTGGGGCTCCTTCTGCAGTGAATTGGTGCAGCTGAGGCAGAAGACACATTCACACTCCAAGGACATTGGCTTTTCTAAGTAAACTGTGCAGATGGGACATCTGGTTGCTTCTTTTAAGAGTTCATCTGTGGTCACTGCCAGGCAAAAAAAAATACACAGGGAAGTGAATTTTCATGAAATGACAGCCTCTTAGTGTGTGACAAGTGACAACCTTTCCATGCATAGAGTTACTCTGCTCCAGCTTTATAGTCCTTAGAACAAGACCGTGAGTACAAACACTCCAGCACATGCCCATGTCTTCAGAGATTTGAAGTTCTATTGGGGAAGACAAGTCCCAAATGGTCCCTGTGCTTTGAGCTGAGTTGGAGGAAGAGTCGATTCTCCTGGTGACCCAGCAGCTGTGCCAGCAGATGAGCCTGAGCCCATGACACAGCGGCACCCATGTGAGGAGCAACGAGCTGGGGTCATTTCCTCTCCTCTGAGGGGAGCCCAAGCAAGAGATTCATTAATGAGAATAAGAACTACATCCTTCCTGCAGCCTTGGGACTGAATACCAAACTGACTGCCACCACTCCTACAGTGAGGGGATCCAGGGTGACTGATTTCAACTCCGAGGCAGCACTCAGACAGCCTTTGTTGAAAGCATTAATTACTAATTTCTTTCATTCATCCCCCTATGTTATAACCCCAATTCTAGACATCTGAGAAGGAAAAGCAAAGCACACAGATGTGGACTCACCTCTTCCGCTGAAATCTTTGTACGCCATCCTCTTCCACCAAGAGCTCAGGTATGGTGGGGAAAGGGCATAGGAGAGCCTTTTATTGGCAAGATTGCCCAACCCTCCATGATCACACCCTTCCACTCCCTCTAATCCTCCATGATCACACCCTGCCACCCCCTCTAACCTAATCAGGCGTTTATTTAATTATATCGGGAATGAGGTTTTTATTGGTGATAAATCTGCAG
Source organism: Homo sapiens (assembly GCF_000001405.40). Taxonomy (NCBI): domain Eukaryota; kingdom Metazoa; phylum Chordata; class Mammalia; order Primates; family Hominidae; genus Homo; species Homo sapiens. The sequence goes on along the minus strand of NC_000012.12, from coordinate 107,880,495 downwards.
TCCACAATATTCTTAGTAAAACCCTTCATCCTGATAATATTTACCTTGAAAAAGAAGATAAGATTAAATTGCCATCACTTTAGATTAGATTAGACCTAACCTACTAATATTATAAGCCTATTTTAGGGATTATTCCAGCATTTTTTAGTAGCAATGGTTTTGCTGATATATACTATACACATCAAGCTTTGCTTAGAATCCTAAAATAGATTATCAGTGTGATTGCATTTGCAATTTTACAAAGTTCTATAAATTTATATACATCAGACTCAAAGGTAATAGGTGCATGCATCTCAATGAGAAAATTTTAGAGAGTTTTTATTTACTTCCATCTTTGGAAGTAAATTGTTCATCTTTTATCCTAAAAATTTTTGATAAATAGTAGGAATAATTTAAATTGTGAAAAATGACCATTAAACTCTGGGTATTAGGCACTTCATAGTGTTAGGATACAAGCCAGAGTTGAAGAACGGGGAATGTTTTCTCTGCTGCTTATGTTTTCAAGTAGAAATCATTAACAGTGAAGTAAATCGTACTTTTCTTTCCCTTGAACCAGCCTTGAGTCTTTTCTTTTTAATCCCCTTCTGTGTATAAAAATCCCCTACTGAGATATTTGTAGTTTCGTTTCAAAATTCAAATGATTCTAATATCATCTTGCTATTTTTCCCATCTCACATTTTATCACAGATTAAATAACTTTTCTCTTTCTATATACTTTTTTAAAGAGAGGCCTAGTTCTGGTCCTCTTTAAATATGATTCCTCATGGCATCAGATGACTCAGAGAGACTCAGATCTTGAGCAAAAGGAATAATGAATCTACAGATATCATGGAAGAGGCTAGGTTAATTTAAGTGATTAATGTCTACTTAATTTATAGAAGAACAGCTTCATTTTCAACTTTTAGATAACTATTTTTTTTTTAAACAAAGTGTCGCTCTATCGCCCAGGGACTGGAGTGCAGTGGCACCATCTCAGCTCACGGTAACCTCTGCCTCTCAGTTCAAGCAATTCTCATGCCTCAGCCTCCCAAGAAGCTGGGATTACAGGCGTGCACTACCACGCTTGGCTAATTTTTGCATTTTTGGTAGATCGGGGTTTTACCATGTTGCTCAGGCTGGTCTTGAACACCTGGCCTCATATGATCCACCAGCCTCGGCCTCCCAAAGTGCTGGGATTACAAGCATGAGCCACTGTGCCCAGACTCAAGTTTTAAATAACTTCAATAAATATAATCTTACTATTTCCCCCACTAAAAGTGTATCACATATTAAATGAATATTCTTTCATTCTTTGTATATATTTTTGAAAATACCTAATTTTGGAACTACTCAAATATGATTTATAATAGGATGAGATGAGCCTCAGTGATTCAGTGTCTAGACAAAGGAAATGAAGTCTCGGGAAATAAGATGTAGGATTGATGTCCAATGATTGGATCAAGTTGGATTTTGTTTATAAAGTGATCATTTTGTAGTTTATGTTTTGCTGGATTCTAGGTCATTCCTCACCCAAATATAAAGACAGGGTCCAGCCCTCCTATATTCTCTAAGGGGGAAAAAAAAACTGAAAAAGACACAATTCAAACTAAAACTTGCGAGTAGGATTCTGTGAGATCGGTGTGTAATTTCTCATGACAGAACAAAAAATGGTGGAAACAATTTATCTTGAGCTATAAAAAAGCTTATATAGGAAGCAGCCACTTAGTTGGGCTTTGAGTTTACGTAGGATTTTGTCAGCCAGCCAGGCCCATTTCTGAGCAGAAAGAAGGGCCGGTGGCTATCACAGGAGGCATGAAACGACTTAGGCTATTTATTGATCCTGTACATTTACCTTGTAGGGAATTTGGGAGTCCTGATGACCACGTTAATGAGCAAATGCTCAAGATTCCCACTAGATGTCAAGAAAACAATATTCTATAACCTGCAGCATAATGTATTTATCTGCAGTAGTCCCAGCAGGGGAATGAGAATGTCGTGTTGCAGAAGATGCCCGGTGGTGCACCCAGCATTGAGATGGTCATGGTTTGGTAAAAAAGCAGAAAACTAGGAGCTGACACCCTAGAGCAATGATGGCAAAGCGCTGGCAGCTCTCACGAGAAGGAATGAATCCACAAAGCCAATGGTGATGGGAGGAACAGACCCCACCTAAGGCGTCTGTCCAGGCAGCAGCGTGACCCCTGGAGAGGCTGGCTCCAGTTACGGAAGTAGAGCACGGAACATTCAGGGAATTGGCACACATAAGTTTGTGGATGAGGCTGGGTGGGGTGGCTCACGCCTGTAATCTCAGCACTTTGGGAGGCCCATGCAGGTGGATCACTTGAGGTTAGGAGTTCTGGCCTATCCTGGCCAACATGGTGAAACCCTGTCTCTACTAAAAATACAAAAATTAGCCAGGTGTGGTGGCATGTGCTTGTAGTCCTAGCTACTCGGAAGACTGAGGCAGGAGAATCTCTTGAACCCAGGAGCCAGGAGGCAGAGGTTGCAGTGAGCCAAGATCTGCACTCCACTGCACTCCAGCCTGGGTGAGACAGTGGGACTCCATCTCAAAAAAAAAAAAGAAGATTGTGGGTGAATGTCCATGATTCTCCAACACCCACTAAGGGTTGATGGAGTCCAAGGGTGAGGCCCTGTCAGGTCTCACCTGCCCAGAGCCAGCAGTGATCAGGCCAGTGATGCGCTGTAAGGTGCGATCAGGGACAGGAGACGTGCAACAGCAGCTGGGTCACACTTTCAGATTTTGGTTACTACTTTTTCTCACTAATTTTGTGATTTAAGGGGATATTGATGTCATTTTCACTTAAGAGTCACTTTAGACAACAATGGCTTTACAATAGCCCATAGTTGATCTTTCCAATTTATTACTTAAATATTATTAAGAAACAAAATTTCCAAATTGTGTTACAATTTTACATGATATTGAACTTCACATTTAAAAAGGCATTTCTTTTCTTGAGTGTTTGCAAATCTCACAGCCCATTGCTTTGGCTACTGTTTATTAAGGATGCTTTTACTTCTAGGAGAAGGTTTATATAAATAAATTAAATCTAGATATTCTACTTCATTATTACTTAGATTATGTATTATTATATATATTATATATTACATAATTGTATATTATGCTATATTATATTTACATATTACTTATATTAGTACATTTTATATAAGTATGTATATATAGGTACTATATATATTATACAATATATTATAGTCATACATGTGTGTGTAAAGATTTCATGTTTAATCTTCAGTCAATACAATGGCAAGTTTAAAAAAAACCTCTCAGTTTAATTTAATTAATATTGATGGCTTCTCTATCATTTAAAACTTTCAGTGTTGTGAATATTCACCCTGAACTAATTCATGATATAAATTCTCACTTATTTTAGCTAAAGCACTTAGAAACAGGTCCAGGAAGATGGATAAGCAGAATGTTTGCTAAGCAATTATTAGGCCGTACTATGTTCTAAAGTAAGAGAAAAGAGGAATAAGGAGAGATTTGCCAGAAGATACAAAGTTACAGTGACCATGACAGGAGGAATAAGTTCTAGTGATGTATACCACTGTAGGATGACTATAGTTCACAAGAACATATTATATAGTTTCAAATAGCTGGAAGGAGGATATTGAATGTTCCCAGCATAAAGAAATGATAAACGTTTGAGATGATGAATGTGTTAATTACCCTGATCTGATCACCACACATCATATGTATCGAAACCCCCTAAACGTGTTGATAATTATGTGCTAATAAAGAAATTAGAATAAATAAACAAAGGGGAGACAGAATTTGGCCATGTTTTATTCCCATCTTATGAGCAAGATTTTTCTCCTTGGTATTATTGCCAAACAGTGATAAGAAAGAAGAAACGTTACTGTTGACTTGTTTTGTCTCTCAATTAAATGTAAAATAGTTAATGGTCAAAAGTAATGAAGCTAATTTTAAATAGTTTTGAGATTCATAGAGATGAGGAGGTCATATGGATAATTCACAAGTTGCAGTTATATTTTATTTATTTAGAAATTTCTGGCCTGGGCCAGACACAGTGGCACAAGCAAGTAATCCCAGCACTTTGGGAGATTGAGGTAGGCAGATCACTTGAGGTCAGGAGTTCAAGACCAGCCTGGGCAACATGGTGAAACCCCCATCTCTACTAAACATGCAAAAATTAGCCAGGTGTGGTGGCAGATGCCTGTCATCCCAGTTACTCAGGAGGCTGAGGCAGGAGAATCGCTTGAACCCAGGAGGCAGAGGTTGCAGTGAGCTGAGATCCCACCACTGCACTCCAGCCTGGGTGACAGAGCAAGACCCTGTCTCCAGAAAAAAAAAAAAAGAAAGAAAAAGAAAAAGAAATTACTGGGCGACCTTTCCACTATGATTTGAATGGTTTGTGCCTAAGATCCTGTGGAGGTTTTACTTAGTGACAGTTGCAGACCCTGTTAACATGCCACTCATTTAGGATACAAATAAAACCTGCAGCCACCCCCAGGAGGCACTGAGTTGAGATTCAAAAAGGGATCTGGGGCGCCCCGGTGCTGGTACAGGTCCACCCCTTCCTGAAACACCCACCACTGAGCCAGGACCAACACGACGCCGTCCATGCTCAGTTTTCATGACATTTACATCTCTCGAGACCTGAGATTTTCCTCCCTCTTCCTTAGGAGGTTAATGGAAATCACCATGGTTTAAATTCCTGGGTCAATTTGCAGCCAACATTTTCAGTAGCCTCCACGCGTCTACACTACCCCCTTCCTTCTGCCTTGAAACCTTGAAGCCTGATTGACCTGGAGAAAACCCGCTAAACTAAGCCCCCACGGAGTTGTTTCTCCCTATAGGAATATTTCCATAAGTACTGAGACAAAGCTGGTTCTCCCAGAGAGAATTTCTGATCACTTCTAAAAGAACCGGTTATTAATTTACTTATATTCCCGTGTTCTTCAACTTGCCTTAAGATGCCCATTCTTGTGTTTAACTTACCAACCATGGTACAATGTGGAATTGAGAACTGGGACTGCAACCCTGAGTATGGATCCAAAATATATGGTTTTGACCAAATAAATAAATAAATGAATATAATAATTATGGTTCAATTTAATATGAAATAAATATCATTTCTTCCACATTTTCTCCTTTTTTTAATCCTAATATTTTAACTGTAGTAGGATTATATACTGCTGATGTGAGGGTCTATGATTCCTGGTCCTGGAAATCAGCCTTGGGGACAGCTGCCTCCGTGTAGATGTTTAGGAAAAGCCAATACCCAAGAGGTGAGTGGCAAGGTTAGCTGTGCCATTACCTGCTGTGAGATGCGTCTAGATCTTTCAATGGCAGAAAGCGTTGCTGAGTTCCAACCTTCAGAACCAACCAGCTACCTTCTGCAGATTAGGGATGTTTGGAGAGGTTGACGAGGAATATGATGGACAGAAAATCTGGCAGAGGCTCCCAGTTGGAAGAGGTCAGGAATCAGGGACTCTGGAACTCCATCTTGAGTTGTCCCAAGATTAAATACCCCAGAAGGCATCTCACGGGTCACCCAGAGAAGGGCAGCAACCCTGGCTGGCAGCCCCTTCCCCTGGCACCAAGCCAGGACTGGACTGGGTGGAGTCAGGTCATTCCTCAGATGGAATGTGGGGCTGCCACCAGATAAAGGAGGTGTGGTTCCCGGGCGGCCAAAAGCACAGTGTAAGTTCCTTACACTAGGGCTTCCAAGAAACCCTTCCTGCTCTAGTCCCTGGGGAGGGGCCTCAGCAGCCCTGGTCTGGATGTTTGGACACAGCTCCCCCGCCCCCAACCTAGGCACCTCCAAGGGTATGGGGAGCCTGGCTGAAGGACAGTTCAGGGTCCCAGATAAATGAAAGGCAGAGAAAGGGTTCCAGTTTACCAGATGAGGGTGGCAGACCCCTCCATCTTCCAGATCTTGGTTTTCCATAGCCCAACTCAGTGACCATTTATTTATCGGTTTGCTAGACCCTCCATTTTACTTACTTTACATTTAATCATGGATTTGATTATTTCATCTCTGAGCCATCACTCCATTTCTTTTAAAAAAAAAGCAAAATGTCACGGTTCTAATTCAGCGGAAGGCTTAAAAAATAGAGGGAGTCACCAGGAGTGGTGGCTCATGCCTGTAATCCCAGCACTTTGGGAGGTCGAGGCAGGTGGATCACGAGGTCAGGAGATCAAGACCATCCTGGCCAACATGGTGAAACCCCATCTCTACCAAAAATAGAAAAAATATTAGCCGGGCATGGCAGCGCGTGCCTGTAGTCCCAGCTACTCAGGAGGCTGAGGCAGGAGAATTGCTTGAACCCGGGAGGCGGGGACTGCAGTGAGCCAAAATCGTGCCACTGCACTCCAGCCTGGGCAACAGAGCGAGACTCCGTCAAAAAAAAAAAAAAAAAAAAAAAAACAGAGAGTGTTAGCTCTCTCCTCAATTTCCTCATTCGTCAAAATGGAGACAATCTAAGTAAACCACCTTGAACGCAGCACACCACATGGGTAGGGGCTGAAATAAAATTCTATTTATTCTGCATCTTTATTTCTTTACAGTATCAGATAAATACACAGTAGCACCAAACCCAGAATCTCTACATTTCTTTTTTTTTTTCCAGCATATTCTATCCACAACATTTCTCAGTAGAAGCTGACATTTAAAGAGTTTCCTCCTACTAGGCCCTCAAAATACTGAGAACCTGGTTTGCAGTGAGCCCTCCGTAATTGAATGTTAAATGAATGAATTCCTCCATTAATGACTTGCTTATTTAATCTTGATAAACATACTTTATTTTGTTCTTTCAATAGCAAATATATCCCAAGGGCTACAGAGAAGGTCAGTGGTCGTGCTCTGAGCTGTGCAGGTGGGGCTGTATCGGAGTGGTGGGAGCGTCAGATGGGCGTTTCCGACGTGGGCATCTTTGTCCAGAGGAGCAGAAGTGGACACACGCCCACCCACAAGGCTTTTCTGCTGACGTGAGTTGGCGGGAGGGGCTCCTGGGTTGTGGCTCCGTTTATGATCTACAGCTGATCAATGAGGGGACTGGAGGGACCTTTCTCAGGTAGTGGAATCTGTCAACCAGCACGTGGCGCCAGAGGTCGCAGGGCCCTGCCTGGGTGTGGGTCTTTTTGGTTGACACCCCAGGTTCTTGCGTGGGGACTCTCACCCCTGAGCACTGAATGCAGTTCCTCAGTCCGAGACCTTCTCACTCGCAGAATGCACAGTTGCACACATGAGCCCCTCACCTGTCACCCATGCTCTCTTACACACCCTGCCACTCCCACCCATACCTCCCCTCTCAGATGTGTGCTCCAGGATTTTCTCTCCACCCACAGCCGCAGATGCCCCTGCGGTGCTTGCAACTGTGCACACTCGGTGCAGCGGACCCCCGTCTCCTGCTCTCAGCCTTGCATTTGTCTCACGCATTTTCCTACCTAGAGACCCCATTTCAGACCCACAGACCCTCTCAGCTTCTTCCCTTGCCTCCTATCCCCTTAAAACGAAAATCCTTTATTTCCTCCAGAATGTGTCTGCTCTCTTCCCAGAATGTCCGTCCGTCTTCTAGCTGATCCTCTAGGGAAGTCCTTTCCTGCCCCTTGATTCCAACAGCTCCTTTCATGCCAGTTTTTGTCATGTGCCTCTTGCCATGCTGAAGCGAAACCGACACAGCGCATCGCAGAATGCCCAGACTCAGGTCTGCAAATATGACTCATTGATAGGCTGCCTGTTTTGGTAAATAAGTTTTATTGGTGGGTTTCCTAGGGCTGCTCCATGCCACAGTGACAACATTAAGGTGGTTGTGACAGAGAACTTACAGTACCTTCCACAGCCTAAAATATTTACAGTCTGGTGGCTCAAGCCTGTAATCCCAGCATTTTGGGAGGCCGAGTTGGGAGGATCACTTGATCCCAGGAGTTTGAGGCTAGCCTGGGCAACATGATGAAACCTTGTCATTACAAAAATTTATTTAAATTAGCCAGGTGTCTGTGGTCCCAGCTACTTGGGAGGATCACTTGAGCCCTGGCGGTTGAGGCTGCAGTGAGCTGCGTTTGCACCACTGCACTCTAGCCTAGGTGACAGAGTGAGACCCTGTCTCAAATTTAAAAAAAAAAGAAGAAGAAGAAGAAGAAATTTGCTGATCCCTGGAACTCCTCACACTTTTCAGGACTTCTAGTGCCTGCTACCTACAGCATCTCAATGCCAACAGTGGCCCCAATCCCTGTGACAAGCACACACTCCCCATGGGTTTCCAAGGTGCTCCCCACTGAGAAACTGCGCTGCTGCCTTTGTTTCTTAATAACCACTTCTTCTTGTTTTTATTCTGTTTTTAGAGATCACTCTTCCAAAAGCACTTAAGGCCATGTGGGAAGACCCCATGGCCCATGACATGAAAGCGTCTTGAAGATTTTACTCTAATTTTTTTAAGGTTTTTTGATGTTTTGTTTTGTTTAATGCAGCAGTTTTACTTACTGCTTTAAGTGTAGGTGACACTCTGGTTTTATTCCTCCCTTTGTGATGGATTTTGTTTTGTTTTCTTTTTTTTTTTTTTTTTTGAGACAATCTTGCTCTGGTGCCCAGGCTGGAGTGCAGTGGTGTGATCTCAGCTCACTGCAGCCTCCACCTCCCAGGTTCAAGCAATTCTCCTGCCTCAGACTCCCAAGTAGCTGGGACTACAGGCATGTGCCACCACAACCAGCTAATTTTTGTATTTTTAGTAGAGACAGGGCTTCACCATGTTGGCCAGGATGGTCTTGATCTCCTGACCTCGTGATCCGCCTTCCTCAGCCTCCCAAAATGCTGGGATTACAGGCGTGAGCTACCCTACCCAGCCATGGATTTCCTTTTAAGGCTTCTTTTTTGTTGCAATGCCTTCCTCTGTGAAAGCAAAAGAAAAAAAAAGAGATCATTCTTTATCTTTCAAATGAAAACTGAAATTACTATATTTATTTTGCATATTTATAGTTCAAATGAATACTATGTACTGATTGTGTGAATGTGTCCCCCATATTTCACGTGCGGACTTAATCTCCAGTGTGGCAGTATTGAGAGGTGGGGCCTTTAAGAGGTGATTGAAATTGGAAGAGACAAGATAAGTACCCAGAGAAAAGTCACCATGTCAGTAAGGGCCTAGAAACTGTATCATTTCCTCAGCTTCTTCTTTCTTTTCTCTTAGTATCTAAGAAGCATGTTACTGCACCAAGGACCCCGCATCTCCTCTTCCTCTTTCTGGAGGGTTCTGACCACAGTTGCTCTCAATAGGAGCTGGCAAGTAATGGCATGTTTTCCCTATTATATATTAAAAGATGGGGCCCCAAGATGCCTACCTCACTGGCAATCACCCTGCCACAAATGGATGCTGATCTCAAGGTGAATGAATGAATACGTGTAATTACCCTATTTTTTCCATTCTTTCTTTCATTCGCTGTTTTAATAGAAAACATCTCTTGAGATCTGCGTCATCAGACTGTGCGTGGACAGCTCTGGACCACATCTGGAATGAAGGGGAGGGGTGTGTGTGTGTGTGTGTGTGTGTGTGTGTGTGTGTGTCTGAATGGAGCATCTTTGTCCAGAGGAGCTGAAGTCAGAAAAATGCCCCCAACCAACAGGATTCCAGCCCTGGCTCTGATGCTGAAGGTCTCTGGAGCTCCTCTGCTGAAGTGGGGTATGTGTGGGGTGGGGTGGAGAGCATCAGGGATTTTAATTTAATTTTTTTTAACAGAGAATCAAAGGTCTCTGACAGGGTATCAACTCTAATGTTGAGAAATATGGAAACGTTCTCTGTGCTGCACAAACTGATGTAAACAGCTACACATCTCGGTTCAGCACTTGAAATGTGGATAGTGCAGATGAGGAGCTGAAGTTTTTTAAATAAATGCTATCATGTATATTTAAATTATGTTATGGGATACATCTAGTGAAATGTTACTATAGTGAAGCAAATTAAAGTATCTGTCATCTTACAGTTACCACCTTTTTTTTTTGGTGGTGGGTGTGGGTTGTGGCAAGAGCAGCTAAGAGTTAGCAGGCATCTCAAATGTGTGCAGTCGTATTCCCTGTAGTACTCCTGTTGTGCATTAGATCTCTAGACTTGTTCGTCTCATATTCCCTGTAGTGCTCTTGCTGTGCATTAGATCTCTAGACTTATTCGTCATCCATAGCTGCTACTTTGCATCCTGTGACCTACGTCTCTCCATTCCCTCTCCCCACCTCCGGCCCATCAGCCCTGTTTTATTCACTATTTCTGTATAACTGACTTTTGCGTTTTTAGATTTCACATGTGAGATCATGCAATATTTTTTTCTTTCTGCATCTGTCCTAGTTCCCTTAGCATAATTAAGGACTGAATTTCTAATCTTAATTCATTTTCATTTAACAAACTACATGCAACTAATTGTTACCAAATGGTGTAGCACAGCTCTAGGGCTCTAGGGAAGGAAGCCGAAAAGACCTTTTCTTGACTTTGAGGTCTATGGTACAGCCAGAGAGGCCGATGGGGCAGATGGGGCCCTGGGGGCTGGGGTTTGGGGTCAGGGCAGGAGCAGGTTAGGTTTGATGGGACATGGCTGGGATCCCTTCCCATGGGAGACCTCTTCCTCTGTGACACACACAACTATTAAATAAAGGAATTCACTTTCTCAAAAACACATTTCCTTTGTCTCTAGCCTTTTCTCCCTTAAAGAGACATACCCACTCTTTTTCTAACACACACACGCACACACTCACACCCTTTGTCACAGGGTCTTGTATACACTTTCACACTCTCTCCTCCAGCCTCTCTCACACACACTCTTATACCTCATCTCGGTCTCTCTCGTCCACGCTCTGCCCCACGGCCAACACACACACACTCTTTTATCACAAGTGAGCCTACAGATGCCCTTCTCTTGGCCCTTTTCCCCACCTGCTGAGACACATGTATTCTGGTGCATTCTCTCAACAGAGAAATGTGGAGTCACGCACAGCATCTATGGAAATATGTACACACTTTCTTTCCCATCCTGCATGCTCGTGCACCACCTATACTCCCTCTGTTGAGCATACTCACAGTTGTTCCATAAGCATTCCATATGTTTTGGTATTTTATGTTTTCATTTTCATTCATTCCCAGAATGACTTATTTCCCTTATAATTTTTTTTCTTTGACCCATCGGTTGTTTAAGAGTGTATTGTTTAATGTCTGCATGCTTTTTTAATTAACTAGTTTTGCTTCTGGTATTGATTCCTACCTCCTTTCATTGCGTTTGGAGAATATAATTCATATAATTTCAATCTTTATGAATTTGTTCAAACTTCTTTTGTAGCCTAACATGCCTCATTCTGGAAAATGTTCCATGTGCACTTGAAAAAATGTGTATTCTGAAGTTGTTGGGTGGCACGTTCTAGAGAGGTCTGTTAGGTCTAGCTGGTTTTTAATGTTGTTCAAGTCCTCTATTTCTTTATTGACCTTCTGTCTGGCTGTTCTACCCATCACTGAAGGTGGAATGTTGAAATCAGCAACTGTTATTGTAGAACTGTCTATTTCTTACTTCAGTTCATTCATTGTTTGCCTCATATGTTTTAGGACCCCATTATTTGGTGTGTATATATTTATAATTGTTATATCTTATGTATGAATTGGCCCTTTTATTAATATATAATGTCCTCTATTTCTATTGTAAAAGTTTTGATTTAAAGTATGTTTTGTCTAATACAAATTACCGACAGGTACATGGAAAAATGCCCAACATCACAAGTCATCAGGGAAAAGCAAATTAAACCACAATATCACCTCACACTCATTAAAATGGCCATTATCAAAAAGACTAAACATAGTAAGTATTGGCGAGGATGTGGCAGAAGGGAACCTATGCACACATTGGTGGGAATGTAAATTACTACAGCCATTATGGAAAATAATGTGAAGTTTCCTCAAAAGATTGCAAATAGAGCCATCACATGATCCAGAAATCCCATTACTGGGCATATAGCCAAAGGAAATAAAATCAGTATCTCAAAGAGATATCTGAACGCCCATGTTCAATACATTATTCACACTAGCTGAGATATGGAATCAACCAAAGTGTCCACTAATGGATGAATGAGTACAGACAATGTGATGCACAGTCATTTGCCACATTATGACATTTTGGTCAATGACAGACTGTTTTATATGACAGTGGATGCATAAGATTATTGTGGAGCTGATAATTTTGTATCACCTAGTGACATCATAGCTGTCTCAATATTGTAGTGCAATGCATTACTTACATGTTTATGGTGATGCTGATGTTAACAAACCTACTGTTCTGTCCATCATAACAAAAGTCTAGCACATGCAATTATGTACAGTACATAATGCTCAATAATAAATGACTGCATTACTGGTTTATGTATTTACTATACTATTTATTGTTATTTGGGGTTTACTTCTACTTATTTTTTAAAATTAATTGTAAAACAGCCTCAGGCATGTCCTTCAGGAGGTATTCCAGAAGCAAGCGTTGTCATCACAGGAGATAACAGCTCCATGCATGTTATTGCCCTTGAAGAACTTCCAGTGGGGCAATTTGCAGAGTTGGGAGACAGTGATATTGATTATCCTGACCCTGTGTAAGCCTAGGCTAATTTGTGTGTGTTTGAGTCTTAGTTTTCAATAAAAAAAATTGAAAGTTAAAAATAAAATGTAAATAGAAAAAAAGTTTACAGAATAAGGATATATGAGAAAGTATTTTTGTACAGCTATACAATGTGCTTGTGTTTTAAGCTAAGTATTATTACAAAAGAATCAAAAGTCAAAAAAATTAAAAATTTATAAAATAAAAAAGTTACAGTAAGCTAAGTTTATAATTGAAAGAAAACTTTTTATAAATTTAGTGTAGCCAGCCTAAGTGTATAGTGTTTGTAAAGTCTACAGTAGTGTGCAGTAATGTCCTGGGGCTTAATATTCATTAAAGTAACTGAACTTATAGAAGCAGAGAGTAGAATGGTGGTTGTGAGGGTCGGGGGGCAGGTAGGGGAGAGAAGGGGAGATGTTGGTCAAGGGGTACAAAGCTTCAATTAGACAAGATGAATAAGTTCCGGAAATCTATTGTACAGCAAGGCTACTGTAGCTAATAATAACTTATTATATACTTGAAAATTGCTAAGAGAATAGATTTTTAAATGTTCTCACCACACCAAAATAATGATATGTATGTAAGGTGATGGATATGTCAACCAGCTTGATTTAATAATTTCACAAGGGGTGTGTGTGTGTGTATATACACACACATATATAATGTATATATTTAATGTATATATAATTTGTATATCAAAACGGCATGCCATATACTATAAATATGTATATATAATTTTTTAAAATTTTACTTTAAGTTCTGGGACACGTGCATAATGTGCAGGTTTGTTACATAGGTATACAGTGCCATGGTGGTTTGCTGCACCCATCAACCCATCATCTACATTAGATATTTCTCCTAATGCTAACCCTACCCTAGCCCCCACCCCCCAACAGGCCCTGGTGTGTGATGTTCCCCTCCCTGTGTCCATATGTTCTCATTGTTCAACTCTCACTTATGAGTGAGAACATGCGGTATTTGGTTTTCTGTTCCTGTGTTAGTTTGCTAACAATAATGGTTTCCAGCTTCATCCATGTCCCTGCAAAGGACATGAACTCATCCGTTTTTATGGCTGCATAGTATTCCATGGTGTATATGTGCCACATTTTCTTTATCCAGTCTATCACTGATGGGCATTTGGGTTGGTTCCAAGTCTTTGCTATTGTGAACAGTGCTGCAATACATGTGCATGTGTTTTTATAGTAGAATGATTTATAATCCTTGGGGCATATACCCAGTAATGGGATTGCTAGGTCAAATGGTATTTCTGGTTCTAGATCCTTGAGGAATCACCACACTGTCTTCCACAATGGTTGAATGAATTTATGCTCCCACCGACAGTGTAAAAGCATTCATATTTCTCCACATCCTCTCCAGCATCTGTTATTTCTTGACTTTTTAATGATCGCCATTCTAACTGGCATGGTATCTCATTGTTGTGGTTTTAATTTGCATTTCTCTAGTGAGCAGTGATGATGAGCTTTATTTCATATGTTTGTTGGCTGCATAAATGTCTTCTTTTGAGAAGTGTCTGTTCATATCCTTTGCCCACTTTTTGATGGGGTTGTTTTTTTCTTGTACATTTCTTTAAGTTCTTCGTAGATTCTGGATATTAGCCTTTTATCAGATGGATAGATTGCAAAATTTTTCTCCCATTCTGTAGGTTGCCTGTTCACTCTGATGATAGTCTCTTTTGCTATGCAGAAGCTCTTTAGTTTAATTAGATCCCAATTGTCAATTTTGGCTTTTGTTGCCATTGCTTTTGGTATTTTAGTCATGAAGTCTTTGCCTATGCCTATGTCCTGAATAGTATTGCCTAGGTTTTCTTCTAGGGTTTTTATGGTTTTAGGTCTTATGTTTAAGCCATTAATCCATCTTGAGTTAATTTTTGTATGAGGTGTAAGGAAGGGGTCCGGTTTCAGTTTTCTGCATATGGCTAGCCAGTTTTTCCAACACAATTTATTAAATAGGGAATCCTTTCCCCATTGCTTATTTTTTGTCAGGTTTGTCAAAGATCAGATGGTTGCAGTTGTGTGGCGTTATTTCTGAGGCCTCTGTTCTGTTCCATTGGTCTACATATCTGTTTTGGTACCAGTACCATGCTGTTTTGGTTACTGTAGCCTTGTAGCATAGTTTGAAGTCAGGTAGCATGATGCCTCCAGCTTTGTCCTTTTTGCTTAGGATTGTCTTGGCTATACGGGCTCTTTTCTGGTTCCATATGAAATCTAAAGTAGTTGTTTCTAATTCTGTGAAGAAAGTCAATAGTAGCTTGATGGGGATAGCATTGAATCTATAAATTACATTGGGCAGTATGGCCATTTCCACAATATTGATTCTTCCTATCCATAAGCATGGAATGTTTTTCCATTTGTTTGTGTCCTATCTTATTTCCTTGACCAGTGGAACAGTGGTTTGTAGTTCTCCTTAAAGAGGTCCTTCACATCCCTTGTAAGTTGGATTCCTAGGTATTTTATTCTCTTTGTAGCAATTGTGAATGGGAGTTCACTCATGATTTTGTGTCTGGAATTGGTGGGTTCTTGGTCTAGCCGATTTCAAGAATGAAGCGACAGACCCTCGCGGTGAGTGTTATAGTTCTTAAAGATGGTGTGTCCAGAGTTTGTTCCTTCAGATGTTCAGATGTGTCCAGAGTTTCTTCCTTCTGGTGGGTTCGTGGTCTCGCTGACTTCAGGAATGAAGCTGCAGACCTTCACGGTGAGTGTTGCAGCTCTTAAAGGCAGCGTGTCTGGAGTTGTTCGTTCCTTCTGGTGGGTTTGTGGTCTCGCTGGCCTCAGAAGTGAAGCTGCAGACCTTTGCAGGGAGTGCTACAGCTCATAAAGGTGACGCGGACCCAAAGAGTGAGCAGCAGCAAGATTTATTGTGAAGAGCGAAAGAACAAAGCTTCCACACCGTGGAAGGAGACCAGAGCGGGTTGCCGCAGCTGGCTCCCGGTGGCCTGCCTTTATTCCCTTATTTGGCCCCACCCACATAATGCTGACTGGTCCATTTTACAGAGAGCTGATCGGTCCATTTTACAGAGTGCTGAGTGGTCCGTTTTGACAGAGTGCTGATTGGTGCGTTTACAAACCTTTAGCTAGACACAAAAGTTCTCCAAGTCCCCTACCTGATTAGCTAGACACAGAGCGCTGACTGGTGCGTTTACAAACCTTTAGCTAGACACAGTGCTGATTGGTGCGTTTACAATCTTTTAGCTAGACAGAAAAGTTCTCCAAGTCCCCATCCGTCCCAGAAGCCCAGCCGGCTTCATCTCTCACTGGCATTGGCAGGGCAGCGGGACTTTGCGACACCTAGC
Source organism: Homo sapiens (assembly GCF_000001405.40). Lineage (NCBI taxonomy): Eukaryota > Metazoa > Chordata > Mammalia > Primates > Hominidae > Homo > Homo sapiens. The sequence goes on along the minus strand of NC_000012.12, from coordinate 107,864,599 downwards.
CCGGGCACTCCAGCAGCCCAGAGGGAGCTCCTCCCAGACAATCAAGAGGGAAAGAGGGGAAGCAGAAAGAGACGGAGACCTGCTATCTTGGCCAACGATCCCGTGAAGAGGGAACGGCGGTCTACGCAGGGAATTCAGCTTCCTATCAAGCCTAGCAGGTGAGGCCGGCCACGCCTGAGTGCGGGGCTTGCGGAGCCGCGCTCACCTGGAACCCGCGCCTGCCCTCGAGCGCGGCGCCCAGCCCGGGCTCCCTCCCGCGCCTCTCTCTTCACACTTCCCCTGGAGCAGAGTGCACAGAGGCCGGCTGAAGGGCTCCACGAGCGCGGCCACAGGGAACGCTGAGGCCGAGGAGGCGCCGGCAGGCGCCGAGAGCGAGCGAGGGCTGCTAGCACTTTGTCACCTCTCAATTTGGCTCTCTGTTTATCTATTATTGGTGTGTAGGAATGCTTGTGATTTTTGCACATTGATTTTGTATCCTGAGCCTTTGCTGAAATTGCTGATCAGCTTGACGGGATTTTGGCTTGAGACAGTGGGGTTTTCTAAATATAGAATCATGTGATCTGCAAACAGAGACAATTTGACTTCCTCTCTTCCTATTGGAATACCCTTTATTACTTTCTCTTGCCTGATTGCCCTGGCCAGAACTTCCAATACTATGCTGAATAGGAGTGGTGAGAGAGGGCATCCTTGTCTTGTGCAGGTTTTCAAAGGGAATGTTTCCAGCTTTTGCCCATTCAGTATAATACTGTCTATGGGTTTGTCATAACTAGCTCTTATTATTTTGAGCTATGTTCCATCAATACCTAGCTTATTGAGAGTTTGAGCATGAATGGGGTGTTGAATTTTATTGAAGGCCTTTTCTGCATCTATTGAGGTAATCATGTGGTTTTTGTCATTGGTTCTGTTTATGTGATGGATTATGTTTATTGACTTGCTTATGTTGAACCAGCCTTGAATCCCAGGGATGCAGCCGACTTGATCATGGTGGATAAGCTTTTTGATGTGCTGCTGCATTTGGTTTTCCAGTATTTTATTGAGTATTTTCACATTAGTGTTCATCAGGGATATTGGCCTCAAATTCTCTTTTTTTGTTGTGTCTCTGCCAGGTTTTGGTATCAGGATGATGTTTGCCTCATAAAATGAGTTAGGGAGGAGTCCCTCTTTTTCTATTGTTTGGAATAGTTTCAGAAGAAATGTTGCCAGCTCCTCTTTGTACCTCTAGTAGAATTTGGCCTTGAATCTGTCTGGTCCTGGGCTTTCTTGGTTGGTAGGTTATTAATTACTGCCTCAATTTCAGAACTTATTATTAGTCTATTCAGGGATTTGACTTCTTCCTGATTTAGTCTTGGGAGGGTGTATGTGTCCAGGAATTTATCCATTTCTTCTGGATTTTCTAGTTTATTTGCGTAGAGGTGTTTATTCTCTGATTGTAGTTTGTATTTCTGTGGGATCAGTGGTGATCTCCACTTTTCATTTTTTATTGTGTCTATTTGATTCTTCTCTCTTTTCTTCTTTATTAGTCTGGCTAGTGGTCTATCAATTTTGTTAATCTTTTCAAAAACCGGCTCCTGGATTCATTGATTTTTTGAAGGATTTTTTCATGTCTCTTCTTCAGTTCTGCTCTGATCTTAGTTATTTCTTGTCTTCTGCTAGCTTTTGCATTTGTTTGCTCTTGCTTCTCTAGTTCTTTTAATTGTGATGTTAGGGTGTTGATTTTATATCCTTCCTGCTTTCTCCTGTGGGCATTTAGTGCTATAAATTTCCCTGTAAACACTGCTTTAGCTGTGTTCCAGAGGTTCTGGTATAATGTGTCTTTGTTCTCATTGGTTTCAAATAACTTATTTATTTCTGCCTTAATTTTGCTATTTACCCAGTAGTCATTTAGGAGCAGGTTGTTCAGTTTCCATGTAGTTGTGCAGTTTTGAGTGAGTTTCTTAATCCTGAGTTCTAATTCGATCTCACTGTGGTCTGAGAGGCTGTTTGTTATGATTTCCATTCTTTTGCATTTGCTGAGGAGTGCTTTAATACCAATTATGTGATCAATTTTAGAATAAGTGTAATGTGGTGCTGAGAAGAATGTATATTCTGTTGATTTGGGGTGGAGAGTTCTGTAGATGTCTATTAGGTCTGCTTGTTCCAGAGCTGAGTTCAATCCCTAAATATCCTTAATAATTTTGTCTTATTGATCTAATATTGACAGCGGGGTGTTAAAGTCTCCCACTATTATTGCGTGAGAGTCCAAGTCTCTTTGTAGGTCTGTAAGAATTTGCTTTATGAATGACGTTGCTCCTGTATTGGGTGCATATATATTTAGGATAGTTAGCTCTTCTTGTTGCATTTATCTCTTTGCCATTATGTAATGCCCTTCTCTGTCTTTTTTGATCTTTGTTGGTTGAAAGACTGTTTTATCAGAGACTAGGATTGCAACCCCTGTCTTTTTTTTGCTTTCCATTTTCTTGGTAACTATTCCTCCATCCCTTTATTTTGAGCCTATGTGTGTCTTTGCACATGAGATGGGTCTCCTGAATACAGCACACTGATGGGTCTTAACTCTTTATCCAATTTGCCAGTCTGTGTCTTTTAATTGGGGCATTTAGCCCATTTACATTTAAGGTTAATATTGTTATATGTGAATTTGATCCTGTCATTATGATGCTAGCTGGTTATTTTGTCTGTTAATTGATGCAGTTTCTTCATAGTGTCGATGGTCTTTATAATTTGGTATGTTTTTGCAGTGGCTGGTACAAGTTTTTCCTTTCCATATTTAGTGCTTCCTTCAGGAAGCACTGTAAGGCAGGGCTGGTGGTGACAAAACCTCTCAGCTTTTGCTTGTCTGTAAAGGATTTTATTTCTCCTTCACTTATGAAGCTTAATTTGGCTGGATATGAAATTCTGGGTTGAAAATTCTTTTCTTTAAGAACGTTGAATATTGGCCCCCACTCTCTCCTGGCTTGTAGGGTTTGTGCAGAGAGATCTGCTGTTAGTCTCTGGATATGAAATTCTGGGTTGAAAATTCTTTTCTTTAAGAATGGTGAGCAAATAGGGCTTTCATTGATTTGCAAGTGACAAGGTGCAAAGGGGAAAAGGAACTTTTTTTTATTTGGAACCTGAGTTTTTAACAACACAATCACAGGTCATTGTGGGTTTCTTGAAAGTAAAGTAGAAGGTAACATAGGCAATTAGGCATCACCTATACTCAGCTCTCAAACCCAGTGAATAATACTTAAATTTGAATGTTCTTTATCCCTCCCCCAAATATAAATATTCCAAAAATAATCAATGGCAAAATGGTCAAATTGCTCATTACCTTGGTCAGACTTAAGCAGCTCCTTTTGTGACTCATATGCTTCTAGTACACATTTTAATAAAGATAAATTTGAAAAAAACAAAGAATGTTGAATATTGGCCCCCACTCTCTCCTGGCTTGTAGGGTTTGTTCAGAGAGATCTGTTGTTGGGCTTCCCTTTGTAGGTAACCCGACCTTTCTCTCTGGCTGCCCTCAACATTTTTTCCTTCATTTCAACCTTGGTGAATCTGACAATTATTTGTCTTGGGGTTGCTCTTCTCGAGGACTATCTTTGTGGTGTTCTCTGTATTTCCCGAATTTGAATGTTGGCCAGTCTTTCTAGGTTGGGGAAGGTCTCCTGGATAATATCCTGAAGCGTGTTTTCCAACTTGGCTCCATTCTCCCTGTCACTTTCAGGTACACCAATCAAACGTAGGTTTGGTCTTTTCACATGGTCCCATATTTCTTGGAGGCTTTGTTCATTCCTTTTCATTCTTTTTTCTCTAATCTTGTCTTCATGCTTTATTTCATTAAGTTGATCTTCAATCTCTGATATCCTTTCTTCCACTTGATCAATTCGGCTATTGATACTTGTGTATTCTTCACAAAGTTCTCGTGCTGTGTTTTTCCATAAGGTTATTTATGTTCCTCTCTAAACTAGTTATTCTAGTTAGCAACTCCTCTTTGTGTGCCCATTAACATAGTCTTATAATTATTGTTCTATGAATTTATCTTTTCAATCATATAGTAAAAAAAGAAAGTATTACAGATTAGAACATGCAGTAATGCTAGCTTCATATTTTCTCATGTAGTTACATTTACCTGAATTCTTCATTTCTGCATATGGCTTCAAGTTACTATCCAGTGTTTCTTCATTTCAGCCTGAAGGATTATAGGTCATCCTCATCCAGTTTTGAAAAGAGTTTGACTGTTACTTAAAAAGTTAAATATACACTTACATAAGACCCATCAATTCCACTCCTAGTTATCTACTTAAGTGAAATATTTATACATGAAGTTTTGTCCATGAATATCCATAACCATGTTACTCAAAATGCCCCAATAGGGGGAATCATCTAAATTTCTAATAACTTATAAATGGAAAAATAAAATGTAATATGTACATGTAATGGAATACTACTTGGCAGTTAAAGGAATGAATTGCTGATACCTGCAGCAACATGAATGAATGTCCAACATCATGCTAAGTAAAATTCACCAGACAGAAAAAAACTCCATGCTTCATAATTTCATTCACATGAAATTCTAGGAAAGCCTAAACTGTAATGACAGATGGCCTGTAGTTGGAGTTGGGGTGGGGATTGACTGCAAAGAAAATTTGGGTATTTTGCTCTAAAACCTGATTGTCATGAGGATTTTATGACTATATATATTTACTAAAGTTTGAATAATTCAAAACACTTAAAATTAGTGAATTTAATGCATACAATATGTGCCTATGAAGCCATAAAGCAAAAGAGTTAATTGGTCCCTTCTGTAAATATGGTGATATTATGGTAATTATATATTTATTTTTCCTTTAATTGTATACCAACTATGTGCCAGATACCCTTCTCTCTGCCTTTGCATGACACTGTTGAACAAAAGTCATCATTCCTCCAACCACTTAAAGCAGGTGGTCGGACTCCTCAGGATTTCTCTCTAGTAATTTGGTGAAAAGTCTGAGATGGTCATTTGGATCCATGCTGTCTTGCTGATGTTATCCAGCCACTTCCTCCTTTCAGCCTCATATCTTCCTGCTGCATGACCTGCAAAATGTATCCTCTCTCAACCTCAGTCTCTTCTTCTTCAAAGTGCAGATGATAACAGAATTTACCTCTAGAGTTGTTCTGAATAGTACACGAGTTTAACATTTGTAAAAATTTTAGAACAAAGTCAAGTACATAGTAATCTATGTTAAATGAAATCATTCTGAAACTCCTTCTCACAGTTATCCCAGTTGCCATTGCTTGTAGTACTTAGAACAATGTTCAATATCATATCAAGTGATACAATTTTACTTGGCAATTTAGAAACAGTTATTGACTTCCCATTGCTTTCAGAGAAAAGCCTAAATTTGTTATCATCATATACAAGAACTTCAGCATGGCCCTTATGACCCTCTCTGGTCTCAGTCAGTAAGTCAATAAACATTTATTAGGCATTCTCTGTTGTCCTTCTCTATGCCATGCACTGGGGATATTTTTGAGCTACTGTAAATAGTAATGTTTTTCAAATTTCAGTTTCCAGTTGTTCATTGCCAGTGTGTAGACATACAACTAATTTTTTAAATACTGGCCTTGTTTTCTAAAACCTTGTTAAACTCACTTATTTGTTCTAATAGCTTTTAAAATTGATTTTACAGAATTTTTAGTCATGTCATCTGAAATTAAAGGTGGTTTTATTTCTTTCTTTCCAATCTGTATACCTTTCCTTTTCTGTTTCTCACTTTATTGCACTGGCTAAGTTGATGATATGATATTGAATAAGACCACTGTCCTTGTCTTGTTCCAGATCTTAGTGGCAAAATCATTCAATCTTTCACAATTAAGCATAATTATAGCAGAAGAATCTTAGTGGATACTCTTTATCAGATTGAGGAAGCTTCCTTATATTTTCTCTCTCTCTCTCTCTCTCTCTGTGTGTGTGTGTGTGTGTGTGTGTGTGTGTGTGTGTGTATTTATTGCATGCTTAATAATGCATATTGTAATAGATACATTATTTGAGACTTTGGTTAATCTTTGTTTCTTAGACCTCTTTATTGAATTTCCAATTAATTACCAGACTCTTGCGTATTTTTCTCCTAGGAGTTATCTTATTTATTACTGCATTCATAAATGAAAAACATTTGCATGGACCCAACTGATTGTGTGGCTAATTAAATGTTAAGAGCATAAAATCTCATGTAAAGCAGAAGATAAATTTGAATGCAATAAAAAAGGCATAGATGGACGATTGACTTCTGGAATTGAAAACACGGTGCGGGCCGGGCACAGTGGCTCACGCCTGTAATCCCAGCACTTTGAGAGGCCGAGGCAGGTGGATCACCTGAGGTCAGGAGTTCGAGACCAGCCTGGCTAACATGGCAAAACCCCATCTCTACTAAAAATACAAAAATTAGCTGGGTATGGTGGCGAGCACCTGCAATCCCAGCTACTGGGGAGGCTGAAGCAGGAGAATCGCTTAAACCTGGGAGGTGGATGTTGCAATGAGCCGAGATTGTGCCATTGCTCTCCAGCCTGGGAGACAAGAGCAAAACTCCTTCTCAAAAAAAAAAAAAAAAAAGAAAAAGAAAAAAGAAAAAGAAAACACAGTGTGCTATGATTGCCTTTATGAAGGCTTTTAATGAACACACTTTAAATTGAAAACCACTTTAGTTAATAAAAGATGTTCTCTTCCCAATGCACCACTCCATTCTGGATTCCCCTGGGAATCAGAGATTTTTATAAAGGATACTAGTGTTAAGCAACTGAATTGTGGCCGCACACAGTGGCTCAAGAGGTCAAGAGATTGAGTCCATCCTGCCCAACATGGTGAAACCCCGTCTCTACTAAAAATACAAAAATTAGCTGGGTGTGGTGGCGCACAGGTACTCGGGAGGCCGAGGCAGGAGAATCGCTTGAACCCAAGAGGCAGAGGTTGCAGTGAGCCAAGATCGTGCCATGCACTCCCGCCTGGTGACAGACTGAGACTCTGTCTCAAAAAAAAGAAAGAAACTCAATTGTTCCCATGTAAAAATGAGGCAAGTCTATCTAGGTCCACAGTAGATTCAAAGTGCACATCATGGAATAAGACACGAAATGCATATGTAACATAATTATCATCAGTTTTCTTCATAAACACAAGAGATTTTAAGCTTTGTGCCAAAAACCTGGATGATGTGCTGTTTTCTTTCACTGAATTCAACATGTTTTGACATTGACGCTTTTCAAAAACACGTTTTGTACACTGTCAAAAAATAACATTCTAGAGCCCGGTTAGCACTTCCAGGAAGATATGCACATACAGCCCTAAATACTTAAAGCAAGATATGGCACAAAAATAATGTATGATGTGCTGTTTTCTTTCCCTGAATTCAACATGCATTAACTAAGAGCAGTTTTCAAGGACACATCTTGTCAAATCTCAGAAGAAAAAATTGTGAGCATAGTAACCACCCACAGGTAATGTAAGTATCTAGTCCTAAAAAGTAAACACAAGGTTTGGCCCAAAACCAAGGTGATGTGCTGTTTCCTTTCACTGAAATAAACATGTTTTCACATTGGTCACTTTAAAAAAACATGTTTTGTAGAAGCTCAGAAAAAAAAAAAAAAACATTTTGAAGCCCAGTTTGCACTTCCAGGAAGATATACATATAGAGACCTAAATGCTAAAAGCAAGATATGGCACAAAACATGGTTTCACCATGTTGGCCAGGATGGTCTCGATCTCTTGACCTCATAATATTTTCTTTTATTGAATTTAACATGTATTAACTAAGAGCAGTTTTGAAAGGCACATCTTCTTTAATCTCAGAAAACTCAATTGTGAGCATAACAGGCCCACACAGAAGATGCGAATATCTAGACCTAAACGGCAAATGCAAGCTTTGTGTCAAAAACCTAGATGATGCTTTGTTTTCTTTCACTGAACTATACATGTTTTGGCATTGGTCACATTTCGAAATCATGTTTTGTACAAGCACACACACAAAAAATGTTAAAGCCCAGTTAGCACTTCCAGGAAGAGATGCATATATAGTCATAAATGCTAATAGCAATATATGGCACACAGATAATGTATGATGTGCTGTTTTCTTTCTCTGAACTCAACACGTATTAATTAAGAGCAATTTTAAAAGACACAACTTGTCAAATCTCAGAAAACACAATTATGAGCACAGTTCACCCACACGAAACATGCAAGTATCTAGGCATAAAAAGTACATGCAAGCTTTGTGCCAAAAACCTAGATGATACGCAGTTTTCTTTCACTAAATTCAACATGTTTTGACATTGATCACTTTTTAAAAATATGTTTTGTACACACTCAGAAAATAACATTTGGGAGCCCAGTTAGAGCTTCCAGGAACATATGCATAGACACCCTAAATACTTAAAGCAATATATGACACACAAATAATGTATGAAGTGCTGTCTTTTTTCACTGAATTAAACATGTATAAACTGAGAGCAGTTTTCAAAGACCCTTCTTCTCAAATCTCAGAAGAAACAATTTTGAGCATAGTAGGCCCACACAGAAAATGTATCTAGCACTTAAAGGTAAATACAAGCTTTGCGCCAAAAATGTAGATGATGTGCTGTGTTTTTTTTCTTTGAACTCACCATGTTTTGACGTTGATCACCTTCCAAAAGCACGTTCTGTACAAGCTCCCCAAAAAAACATTTTAAAGCCCAGTTAGTTCTTCCAGAAAGATATGCATATACAATCCTAAATGCTAAATATGGCACACAAATAATGTATGATGTGCTGTTTTCTTTCACTGAATTCAACATGCATTAACTAAGAGCAGTTTTCAAAGACACATCTTGTCAAATCTCAGAAAACACAATTCTGAGCATCGTGGGCTCACCCAGAAAAATGTCAATATCTAGCCCTACAAGGTAAACACAAGTGTTTTGTTAAAAAACAAAATGATGTGCTGTTTTCTTTCACTAAACTCAACATGTTTTGACATTGATCACTTCTCAAGAAAATGTTTTGTACAAGCTGAGGAGAACAACATTCAGAGCCTAGTTCGTGCTTCCAGGAAGATATGCATATAGAGCCCTAAATGCTAAAAGCAAGATATGGCACACCAATAATGTATGATGTGCTATTTTCTTTCACTGAATTCAAAATGTATTAACTAAGAGCAGTTTTTGAAGACACTTCTTGGCAAATCTCAGAAAACACAATTCTGAGCACAGTAGGCTCACAAAGAACATGAGAGTATTTATCCCTAAAAGTTAAATGCAAACTTTATCCCAAAAACCTAGATGATGTGTTGTTTTCTCTCACTGAATTCAGGGTATTTTGAAATTTATCACCTTTAAATAACACGTTTTCTACAAGCTCAGAAAATTACATTTTGGAGCCCAGTTAGCACTTCCAGGAAGATATGCATACACACCACTAAATGCTAAAAGCAAGATATGACATACAAATAATGTATGATGTACTTTGTTCTTTCAGTGAATTCAATATTTATTAACCAAGACCAGTTTTCAAAAAGACATCTTGTCAAATCTCAGAAAACACTATTGTGACCATAGTAGGCTTACACAGAAAATGCTAATATCTAGCCCTAAAAGGTAAACACAAGATTTATGTTAGACAACTAGATGATGTGCTGGGTTTTTTCACTGAACTCAACATGTTTTGTCATTGATCACTTTTCAAAAACATTTTTTGTAGAATCTCAAAGTAAAACATTTCAATGCTCTTAGTGCTTCCAGGAAGATATGTGCATATATTCCCAAATGTTAAAAGCAAGATATGGTGCACAAATAATGTAAGATGTGCTTTTTTACTGAGTTCAATATGTATTAACCAAGAGCAGTTTTCAAAGACACAGCTTGTCAAATCTCAGAAAACACAATTCTGACCACAGTAGGCTGACACAGAACATATGCATTCCAGAGCTGAAAAGTAAACTCAAGGTTTGTGCAAAAACAAAGAATATGTGCTGTTTTCTTTCACTAAATTCAACATGTTTTGACATTGATCACTTTTCAAAAACACGTTTTGTACAAGCCCAGAAAAAATATTTCCGAGCACAGTTACTGCTTCCAGAAAGATGTGCATATAGAGCCCTAAATGCTAAAAGCAATGTATGGCACACAAATAATTTATGATGTGCCCTTTTCTTTCACTAAATTCAACATGTATTAAGGAAGAGCAGTTTCTAAAGAAACAACTTGTTAAATCTCAGACAACACAATTCTGAGCAGAGTAGGTTCACACACAACATGCGAGTATGCAGCTGCAATAAATAAATGCAAGCTTTGTGTCAAAAACCTAGATGAAGTGGTTTTCTTTCATTGAATCCAACATATTTTGACATTGATCACTTTTTAAAAAGACGTTTAGTACAAGCTAAAAAAAAAATTTCGCAGCCCAGTTAGTGCTTCCAGGGAGATATGCTTTATACAGTCCTGAATGCTAAAGGCAAGATATGGCCCATAAATAATGTATGCTGTGCTGTTTTATTCACTGAACTTAACATGTATTAACTAAGAGCAGTTTTCAAAGACACCTCTTGTCAAATATCGGAAGAAATAATTGCAAACATAATAGGCCGACACAGAAAATGTGAATATCTAGTCCTGAAAGGTAAACGCAAGCTTTGTGTTAACAATGTAGATGATGTGCTTTTTTTTCCCAAGTGAACTCAACATGTTTTGACATTGATTACTTTTCAAGAAACGTTTTGTAAAGCTCAAAAAAAACTTTTAAAAGTCCAGTTCGTGCTTCCAGGAAGATATGCATATACAGCCCTAAATGCAAAAAGCAAGATATGGCACACAAATAATGCATGATGTGCTATTTCTTTCCCTAAATTCAACATGTATTACCTAAGAGCAGTTTTCAAAGACACATCTTGTCAAAGCTCAGGAAACACAATTCTGAACATAGTAGTTTCACAGAGAAAATGCAAATATCTAACCCTAAAGGGTAACCTCAAGCTTTGTGCCAAAAACTCAGATGATGTGCTCTTGTCTTTCACTGAATTCATCATGTTTTGACTTTTATCATTTTTCAAAAACACGTTTTGTACATGCGCAGAAAATAACATTTGAAAGCCCAGTTAGTGCTTCCAGGAAGATATGTTTTAACTCCTTAAATGCTGACAGCAAGCTATGGCACAAAAATAATATGTGATGTGCCGTTTTCTTTCACTGAATTCAACATGTGTTAACTAAAAGCACTTTTCAAAGAGACACCTTGTCAAATACAAGAAAAAACAATGGTGAGCATAGTAGGCCCACAAGAAAATGCGAATATCTAGCCCTGAAATGTAAACGCAAGCTGTGTGCCAAAAACCTAGATGATGTGTTGTTTTATTTTACTGAACTCAACATGTTTTGACACTGATCATTTTCAAAAACACGTTTTGTACAAGCTCTGAAAAAAACTATTCGGAGCCAAGTTAGCCCTTCCAGGAAGATATGCATATGCAGTCCTAAACGCTAAAAGCAAGATATAGCACACAAATAATATATGATGTGCTGTTTTCTTTCACTGAATTTAACATGTATTAACTAACAGCAGTTTTCAAACTGGAATGCAGTGACAGGATCTCGGCTCACTGCAACGTCCGCCTGCTGGGTTCAAGAGATTCTCCTGCCTCGGCCTCCCAAAGTGCTGGGTTTACAGGCATGAGCCGCCTTGCCTGGCCAAGACATTTTGTCAAATATCAGAAAAAACAATTTTGAGCTTAGTAGGCCCACACTGAAAATGCAAATATATAGCTTTAAAAGGTAAACACAAGCTTTGTGCCAAAAACCCAGATGATGTGCTGTTTTCTTTCAATGAATTCAACATGTTTTGATTAAGAGTAGTTGTCAAAGACAAATCTTGTCAAAAATTGGACAAAACAATTCTGAGCATACTAGGTTCTGACAGAAAATGAGAATATCTAGCTTTCAAAGCTAATAGCAAACTTTTTCCAAAATGTATTATGATGTGCTGTTTTCTTTCATTAAATTAAACAAATTCTTATTAAAGAACAGTTGTCAAATCTTAGTTTTATAGAAGATAAAAAAATACTTTATCCCAGGCAGCCCTCATTAAAAGAGGTGAAGTCCAGCTCTAGTAACAAAAGCAAGCTTTGTGCCAAAATCACATATCATATGCAGTATTCTTTCACTGAATTCCACGTTTTGCCTTTGAACAGTTTTCTTTTTCTTTCTTTCTTTCTTTCTTTCTTTCTTTCTTTCTTTCTTTCTTTCTCTCTTTCTCTCTCTCTTTCTTTCTCTCTTTCTTTCTTTCTTTCTTTCTTTCTTTCTTTCTTTCTTTCTTTCTTTCTTTCTTTCTTTCTCTCTCTCTCTCTCTCTTTCTTTCTTTTTTTTTTTTCCGAGACGGAGTCTCGCTCTGTCGCCCAGGCTGGAGTGCAGTGGCGCGATCTCGGCTCACTGCAAGCTCTGTCTCCCAGGTTCACGCCATTCTCCTGCCTCAGCCTCCTGAGTAGCTGGGACTACAGGCGCCCGCCACCACGCCCACCTAATTTTTTGTATTTTTAGTAGAGACAGGGTTTCACCGTTTTAGCCAGGATGGTCTCGATCTCCTGACCTCCTGATCCGCCCACCTCGGCCTCCCAAAGTGCTGGGTTTACAGGCGTGTGTCACCGTGCCCGGCCGCCTTTGAACAGTTTTCAAAGCAATGTTTTGTACAAGCTCAGAGCAAACACTTCTGAGCTAGGCTAGTCTTTCCAGGCACATAGACATAACCAGCTGTAAACGCTAAAAATAAGATATGGCACACATATATGGTATGGTGTGATGTTTTCTTTCACAGAATTCAACAGGTTTTGATTTGAACAGTTTTCTTTTTCTTTTTTTATTTTACTTTAAGTTCTGGGATACAGGTGCAGAACATGCAGGTTTGTTACATAAGTATACTTGTGCCATGTTGGTTTGTTGCACTCATCAACTCATCATCTAGGTTTTAAGTCTTGCATGCATTAGGTATTTGCCCTAATGCTCTCCCTCCTCTTGACCCCAACCCCCCTGACAGGCTCTGGTGTGTGATGTTGCACTCCCTGTGTCCATGTGTTCTCATTGTTCAACTTCCTCTTATGAGTGACAACAAGCATTGTTTGGTTTTCTATTCTTGTGTTAGTTTGCTGAGAATGATGGCTTCCAGATTCATCCATGTTCCTGCAAAGGACATGGTTCCATGTCCCTGCAAAGTCCATGAAAGGACTGCTCCATTTATTTAAAAATTACATAAGCAAACATTATTCTGTTTGGGCTGAGTTACAGTTTTGTAGCCTCTATGCCAAATTTTGACACTTTATAGCACTTGGCAGAGATGAGTATGAAATTGCTTGATTAGTAAATGCAAACAAAAATGTATGCTGGCAACTCTTAAGACGTTTCTAATCTTACTGTACCAGTAATCTTTAAAGATTAAAGTCACATAAACTGAAAGGTCCCACAGCTTTTACTTTTTACTTAAAAATATTTGATTTAAATGCTTATTTTTAGGCCAATTAATTAGAGCTTTTTAAATAGACATTACATGCATAACACATATAAACACATATATAGCCACACAGACAACCAGAAGAAGATACAGTAGTTATAATTTTTTTTCTGCTAATTTCCTAATTGGATTATTGGCCTTTGGGTGAGACCCTTTAAGAGCAAGGCCAGGAAAATAGTTTCCAGGGCCTAATAAATAAGCATAGCTGGAAGACAAAGACATTTTGAAAGGTACTTATTTACCTCTAATTCCAGTGGTTCCATAAGGAAAACAGAGATTTTTCCCAAAACGGGATTTGTGGCACATTTTCTGTTTTCCCAAGGAGTCTTAGGTCACCAGAAGTTATTTTAGGGTTTTTCATACATGCACCAAGAGTGGCAAGACAGAGTGGAGAAGAGTAATTCAGCTGACTAGGAAAAAACCTTTTCCGGCCGGGTGCGGTGGCTCACACCTGTAATCCCAGCATTTTGGGAGGCCGAGGCAGGCAGATCACCGGAAGTCAGGAGTTCAAGACCAGCCTGACCAACATGGAGAAACCCTGTCTCTACTAAAAATACAAAATTAGCCAGGTATGGTGGTGCATGCCTGTAATCCCAGCTACTCGGGAGGCTGAGGCAGGAGAATTGCTTGAACCCAGGAGGTGGAGGTTGTGGTGAGCCAAGATCATGCCATTGCACTCCAGCCTGGATGACAGAGAAAGACCCTGTCTCAAAAACAAACAAACAAACAAGCAAACAAACCAAAAAACCCTTTCCAGGAAAACAAGATTTCTTAAAGAGAAAAACATAAAGGCCTTTTTGAATATACTCGTAGCTTGGATATTCATTTTAATTCAGCTGAGCGCTCTCTTTGATTGGATTATGTGCAGGAATTCCCTGCAATAATGAGAGGGATTTTTAGAGAAAGTTCCTCGGGACTGTTTCATCTGCAACAAATCAGACATGGAGAAAGGGACATGAATGTGAGCAATGCCTTCAGCCCCAGCCACTTCCAGGATAGGGAGAATAGCATGGGTGGTTTGAGCAGTTTTTGGACAGGTAACAGGTGGAGAAGAAGGAGGAGCAGGGTTTGGGGCTGGAGAATCTGGGGCAGGAGGGACCACCAGGGCGGAGGGTTAGGATGGATGAGGAGCAGATGCAGTGGGATGGGAATATGGAGGAGGTTCATCTGCAAAGTCAAAAGGGGTTTTGGAGGAAGGAGGAAATCCTTTCTCGAGAAGAAGGATTTCATGACGAGTGCAAGCTTGATATAGGGAAGGGCGAGATCTAAGGTAGAAGAAAGCCTGAATATAGATAACCTCTTGCATTTGCCATTCCTGGTTATAAATTTGTCAAGGTCCCTGAGAATTTGCAACTCAGAAGTGCCATTTTTGGGCCATCAGATGTCATTATCTAATGTGTATTTGGGCCAGGCCATGTTGCAATAAAAGACTAAATGCTTTGGCTTTATGCTTCCATGTAAGCCATGTTTGGTGAGTTTATGAAGGAAGCAGCCCAGTGGGGGTATTGTAAGAATGTGAGATTGTTTGGCACCCATGTGGACTGGTGAGAAGAAGCTGAAGGTGTCTGTTTTTGTTCTAAGCATCCCCAGACAAAAGACAGAGACCCAAGAGACCCAGAGCCCTCTTTCTAAAGAGGATGGTCAAGCTGAGAAGAAGCTGGGCATCCCTATGATTTCTTCTAGCTTAGTCCTGCTAGTCCTGAAAGGACAAGGACAGCAGACCTGACTTTCCCAGGTGCTGTGAGAAAAGCAGGGGAGGGCAGATTTTACTAGTTGGCTGGATTAGTGTCCAATGTTGGATGTTCCAGTTGGAATTGGCAAAGGGCCCCTTAGACTGGAGCCGCACAAGGGAGAGACAAAGAGAGAAGGGAGGATGAGGGAAGAGGAAAGGAGAGAGTGAAATACCCGTTGTGGGTGGTTGGAGGTGGATTCCTGAGACCTGAGGGTTTTGAGAACTCTCTGGGGAGTATCACCACCCAGAGCCTCGCAATCCCTTTCAGGGATTAAGCAAATCGCTAGAAAAGTGAAGTGAGAGAAAAGATGGGGCAGGTAGCCAAAGACCCTCAGGATCCAGGAGTTAACTCAGGATAAGCTGCCATTGTCCACTGTTTCCTGGGTTGCAAGAGAGCCTCTGCCCATAACACCCATCCCGGGTTTCAGCACCAAATGTAAGAGTTAAAGAACGAGGAAAGAAACACAAAATGCAGCTTAACAGTTAATGACAGATTTATTTTAGAGAAAATAAACCTGAGAGGGGCATCTGGGCCGATTTTAGTCAGGAACATTCTCTCTTACAGACTAAGAGTATATATTGGTTTTAGGGTGAAGGGGCTTATCACAAGCCTGGATTGTTTCTGTGTGGGGGAGGAATTTATGGTGGGGTTGGAATGTCACATAACATTGTGGAATGTCTCTGGGCAGAGGGGAGGTTGGTTATCTTGGGGCTGACCTCTTTCTGGCTGGAGGGGGGTTATTTCGGGGCTAGCATGTCTCTGGTTGGGGACAAGTTTGGAATGTTTCTGGCTGGAGATGTTATATGTGGTTTATGGTCATGCTGATCTTAACCATTAGGCTGATGCCCTTTGGATTTAGGTGGTTTTTGAGTAAGGTGAACTTTAGAATGAGGGCTTGTCCAAGATGGTGATGCTTCTGCTCTGTCAATTACAATACTAACATAAAAGATCACTCATCACAGATCATCATAACAGATATAATAATAATAATAATGAAAAATTTGAGCTACTACGAGAATTACAAAAATGAGACACTGACAAAAAGTGAACACATACTATCAGAAAAAATGGCCCAAATAGACTTGCTCTATGCACGGTTGACATAAACCTTAAATTGGTTAAAAAAATGCAATATCTGCAAAGCAGAATAAAACAAAGTGCAGTTAAACAAGATACACCTGTTTAGTGCATGAGGAAAGCAGGGACTCTGTTTTCTTATTCAAACTTAAATTGAGAGTGTTTGTCTCATTTAAAGTATCAGTGGGCTGGTGTGAAGCAGGCGAGGAGCCTGCAGTGGGTGGCATAGACTGAAGCCAGTGACTCCAAGCTGAGGCCAGCCTTGAGCCTGTGAATATAGGGAAGGAGCTTCCCTTGGTGTTTCCTGGGCAGCCTGCCCTCCCCTGCACGTAGCCTCCAGCTATTTGGAACAGCTAAGGGGTGTGGATTCTGGAAGCTACAGAGACCTGGAAAGCTGGAGACCTGCATGCAGATGTGGTTGTGGGGGCTGAGAACGGAGCAAGAGAGCATGTTGAGTTCTGTCCTTTCTGAGGCTTTACCTCCAGTGTCTGGGACCATTTCCTGGACAATGTTTTCATTTTGGTATTAGAATTGCGGGAGTCAGACTGTAGTTTGTAATGAAAAAGAAAAAAAAATTAAAGTTCCTTTAAATCAGGCCCAGAGAGGCATTTAAAATGTAACAGGAGTCATATCTCACTCTCCACTTGAGCTAATCACCTCTTGAAGCCACTTGTTCTGTGGGCTCTAAATTAATGCTAAGTAGAACTTTTACCCAATAGTTCAACAATGTAATGAGTCACTAACCAATGTTATTTGTATGAACCAATGAGAATTCCTGGACAACTTTTGTAAGTTCTTTGTGATTTGTCCTTTTTTCTTAAAACTCAAGCCTCTGCTTTATTCTCCAGAGCACTCCCCAAGGCCAATTGGAAGTGTATCCTGGGAAGTTGTCCTCAACCTCAGGCCAAATGAACCCTCTATTAATTTTGCCCCAGCTTCTGCCATTAGGTTGATGCATAAGTGAAGAAAATCTGTGAAGGTCACTCTTACAGCTTCAGACTGGAGAAAGGGTTTATGAATTTGACAGTTTATTCAGGTCAGAATCCTAAACTGATGCCATGTGAGAGCTTCTTGCTGGTGGATGTTAAGGCACTAAAGGAGGGAGTGTTGCCACGCTGAGGATGGTCAGGGAAGCATGTTGAGCTCACAGTTCAATCCTTAGGTTCCTGGTCTGTTCCACCCCAGGCTCAATGCGAGGGGTCAGAGTCTGACTCCCAAGCTTGGAATACTCTTAGCCTCCCGAATGAGGGTTTTCCTTGCGAACTGTAGGTGCAGGGGGCTGCTTCTCTGATCTAGTTTAAATGTTTGCTTTTATTCTCCTTTAGTTCCTTTATTGAATATTGCTGTCATATAACTCCAGTTTTTCCATGCATTTAATAATGATGTTCTTGTTGGTGTGTCTATCTTCTTGGCTGCGAATGAATAGATTGAAAGATAGGGTATGAGAAAGCCTTGGCCTTGCCCCACAGCAGCCTCATCCCAGTGGCCCTCCCTCCTGCTTTCTCTCTCTCTCTCTCTCTCCCTCTCTGTCTCTCTCTCTCCCTCCCTCTTTCTTTCTTTCTTTCTTTCTGAAGGAGTCTTGCTCTGTTCCCCAGGCTGGAGTATAGTGGCATGACCTCGGCTCACTGCAACCTTTGCCTCCTGGGTTCAAGTGATTCTCCTGCCTCAGTCTCCCCAGTAGCTGGGACTACAGGCATCTGCCACCAAGGCAGGCTAATTTTCGTATTTTTAGTAGAGGCAGGGCTTCACCATGTTGGCAAGTCTGGTCTTGAACTCCTGACCTCGAATGATTCACCCACCTCTGCCTCCCAAACTGCTGGGATTACAGGCGTGACTCCCTCCTGCTTTAGTCTTGCCTCACCAGGCCTGGGCACCCTTGCTGCTCTGAGGCCCGGGGATTACTCTCTCCATTAGACTCAGTGTGGAGTTTCCTCCTCCTACTTGTGACCCACCCTGCCCAGGAGGAAAAATCAGGAAGGGCCCACTGCATACAGGCAATGCCAGTGTCTACTTGGCAAAGCCTGAAGAAAGTCCTGTATAAATGCAAATATCACGTCCGGGCACAGGGAGGATGCGTGCCCTGTAGCCATGAACCTGTCATTCCCACTCCACTCAGCCTCCAGCCAGGGCGGGGAACCTGAGTCAGTGTCCAATCAGGGGGGCTGGGGACCGTGCACACTGTTCAGTCAGGTGTGAAGCTGTCACCCGCAGGTGCTGGGCTTCGTTGCTGTTTCTGGCAGAGTCCTGCTTCTCGCGCCCGCTGCACTGGGTTTGGCGTCTCTGCTGTTCGCTGAGATCTGCACACTCCAGGAGCCATAGGGAGGACGCCAGGACAGCCCCGAAGACGAGAATGGTGAGTGAAAGGGGCAGGCGTCCCCAGACTGGGGATGGGCTGGTGGAGCCGGCGGGATGCGGCTGGCGGGCCGCATATGGAGCTGGTGGCCCCGTCCCTCCCGCGGTCAGCTCTGGGGCTGTGACCTGGGACCCCGGTCATGGCTTGCCCCCCAGGGTTCCCTCCGGCCGCAGAGTGGGCTGGGCGAGCAGCTGGATGGGGCGTCCTGCCAGTCTCCCGGGTCTCCTGGATGTTCAGGGCCGCGGGAGGATCCTGGGAGAATCCCACTCGGAGTCCGGGGCTCATGCTCAGTCCCTCCTTTTTCCCCCGGCGAGGGGGTGACGGGTTTCCAAGTTCACAGGAAGCCAGATCTCAAACCTACCGCCCTGTCCCCAGCCTCGCTCCTCCTAGGACGGGAGGAAAATCCCACAAATCCTGTCTACTCCAAGCAGCCGCGCCCCTCGGGAGACCACCCCAGTTGGAGGGGCCCACTCCAGCCACCGCTACACCGGGACGCGCTCCTCCTCCCCCTGTGCCCGCCCCTTCTCGTGAGGGACCACCAGGAGGCCCCTCGATTCCCCAGGTATGGGAACTCTAACACCAATGCCTCTGCTCCCTGGGCGGTGAGCGCAGCGCCCACGGGTCCTTCGGCCAGGGGCTGGGCTGCCTCGATTTCCATCCCGGACCCGAAAAAGGGCCGGACGCGGTGGCTTACACCTGTAATCTCAGCACTTTGGAAGGCCGAGGCGGGCGGATCACTTGAGGACAGGAGTTCGAGAGCAGCCTGGCCAAAATGGCGAAACCCCCATCTCTACTAAACATACAAAAAAATTTGCGCACCAGCATGGCACATGTATACATATGTAACTAACCTGCACAATGTGCACATGTACCCTAAAACTTAGAGTATAATAAAAAAAAAAAATTAAAAAAAAAATTTGCTGGGCGTGATGGTGCGGGTGGCGGGCGCCTCTAGTCCCAGCTACTCAGGAGACTGAGGCAGGAGAATCCCTTGACTGCTTCTGGAGCCCTTGTCCCCCGGCAAGCACAACCGGCCCGCAGACTGGTCAGGCAGCGCGGCGTGCGCACGCCCATCCTTGGGTCCATAGCTCCGTAGCTGAGACCCCGCCCTTCGTCTGCTCTACAGTCCGGTATCCCGCCCGTCCTAGGCTGGGCAGTCTGGGACCCTGCCACCACCGCGTTCCTGCGCACCTGTGCCGCGCGTCTTCGCCCCCCAGCCTCCGCGGGTTCTCAGGCAGCCCCGGCACAGCCAGCATCGGCACGGCCCCCTCCTCCTGCGGGCCTCAAGTCCCTGCCCGCCATGCCCCAGGGCCCTCAGCTCCACCACCAGCTACGGGTCTGCCGGAGAGCCCGCGACACCCTCCACCGCCAGACTTCCCACATTAGAGTCGTTGGGTGGACACCGTGGTGGCAGCAGCGGCGGCGGCCAATCCAGGCGGCCTGCCGGACCGCGGCAGAGACGGCGCAGAGGCTGCAGCTCAGGCGCCTAGGTGGGTTGGCGGGGCGTGCTCTGGGCGGCCTCAGTATCCTGAGTGCACTGCCTCCTCAGCGCGAGAGCCTGCCTGACCACGCTGCTGGCTGTCTCCTCCTCAGCGGGCGCACAGAGCTGGGGGCCGCTAGCGCTGGGCAGTCCTAACCCGCAGCCTCTGCGTTGTCTCTGCCGCGGTCTGGCGGACCACCTGGATTGGCCGCCACCACGTTGTCCACCCAGCGTCTCTGATGCTGGGAGCCTGGCCGGGCAGGGTGTCCTCGCTGTTGTTGCCCGCCTGGAGTGCAGGTGACGACTGCAGGTCAGGGGCACCGAGGCAGGCGGGGTAGGAGTACCCTGGGCGGCCTCAGGATCCGGAGTGGACAGCAACAGCCAGCAACCTCCCACCCCGCCGGGCTCCCAGAGACGCGGACAGAGGGACAGATGCGGCAGCTGGGGCAGCCAAGCTAGGCGATCTGCCGGGCTGTGGCGGCACAGGGGTGGGGGTAACCAGACCCACTCGGCCAGATCTCTGGTGGCTGCAGAGCGCCAAGACCCCAGCGCTCCCAGCCTGTTCTGGCAGTCCGGCACTGGAAGCCCAGCGCCAGCCGCGCGCAGCCTGGGAGCGGCTTCCTGGGCCTCGGGCTGGCTGTGGTGCCCAGGCGTGGGCCTAAAGGCTCTGCCTGGCTCACTAGGTCCGAGAGGTCGGAAGCGGCGGTTTCGCTGCTAAAGGCTTTGGTGCCCCGGGCTTAGCTAATTGTGACTGGACTCCGGATTCCGCGAAAAGGCGAAGGGGAGCTGCAGGGTAGCTGAGGCTTCTCCGAAGCTGCCGCGATGAAGAAGCTGTTTGGCTCCAGGAGGAAGAAGGATGAGGTGGCCCTGGGCTCCATCCCTGACCACTTCTACTCGGATTCCTGGTAGCACCGCCGAGATTGAGAGCTCGGCAGGATCCACAAGACGGCCAGAGAGGGAGATACGGCCACAGTGCAGCAGTGCCTTCTGCTCAAGAGCCCTGCATTGAAGGAGGGGGACAACAGGAACAGGAGATGGGAGCTCCCAGCCGAGGGTGGCGGCGGGAAGGGTGGGTCTGGGAGGCGCCCCTGTCCTTCCGTGCAGGCCCCGCAGCCCCTGGGACAGGGACGCCTTGGAGGGGGCGCTGGGGATCTCCATGAGCAGCAAAACCAAAACAAAACGTTAGCTGGTTTCCTATCCTCTTACTCATACTGTCCCGTCTAGAGCACATTATAGACAATTTTAGTGATTTCACTAACAAGTATATAAAGAATTTTATTATTATTATTATTTTGAGACGGAGTCTCACTGTCGCCCAGGCTGGAGTGCAGTGGCGCATCTCGGCTCACTGCAACCTCTGCCTCAGGGGTTCAAGCGATTCTCTTGCCTCAGTCTCCGGAGTAGTTGGGATTACAGGCGCTGGCCAACAAACCCGGCTAATTTTTGTATTTTTAGTAGAGATGGGGTTTCAATTTTAGCCAGGCTGGTCTGGAACTCCTGACCTCAAGTGATCTGCCCGCCTTGGCCTCCTAAACTGCTGGGATTACAGGCGTGAGCCACTGCGCAGGTCCAGGATTTTACTTTTAGTGCATACATTTAAAACATGATGTTATACACATGACAAAAAGGTGCATAATGAGAGAAATGGTTCCCGTAATATAAATACTCTTAAAATATTTTTAGTAGGCTAAAAATTCTTTGGATGAAATCCAATATCCATTTTATATCAATGTACATCTATGTAAATATGTTCTTTACTGAGGGAACTTAGAAGGAAATGTTGAAGTAGGAAGAGAGCTGCATGTTCTTTGATAGGAAGACCGATTTTTCTTAAAATGTGAGCCCTTTATGTGTTTATTAATTTTTTATAAACCTAATAAAATATCAAGGTTTTAACATGTTATCTATATACAAAAGAAAACATGCTTAGCTTTCCTGGGAAGAGAAGGAATTTAAAGTAAAGAGGAGCGAAATACTGTTTTCTATTCCCAATTTTGTGATGATGAAGAGCAGTGGTGCTTATACTGCTGCTTAAAGTTAAAAAGAGTCTGATGACTTTTCAAATGGATAATTTGGTGGTAAGTGCCGTATTTTTAAAAAATATATGCTCTTTACTCCTCAATTCCATTATACTAAAATAGCTTTAGGAAACAGACATATATGCAATTTGGTTTTCTCAGCACTGCTTAATTTTAGGAAGAACCCATAGAATGGATTTTATAAATTTCAGTGCATTCATAGCATGGAATAAGTGATTGTTGAAGGTGGCAACAGATACCGAAGAATGTTGATGTACAAAGATGTATTTTGGTATACTGAGTGAGAAAAAAATCAGTTTGATTATATATCCATACAGGTTGTGATCTTATGTTACCAAAAATATGTACAATATATAAAGTTTTTTCCTTTTTCTTACCTTTGATTTTGGCAATGAGTATGCATAAAAGTTGTAGTGAAAGTTTATTATTAATAGAATAATGCTTGGGAAGAGAAGAATATAAATCTTCAAAGTTAAAAATAATTTATCATTTTCTGTTTATTATTATTATTTTTGTGTAGATTGGTGTCTTCGGTGAACTTTTGACCTCTTCAGAATAAAGGGACTTTTTTTATCTGTGCTTGTAGATTTTATTATGTATATATTTTATTATATATGTGTGTTTTCATTACATGTAGGTTCATTACATATGTGCAAAAAATTAATAGGGTAATCATTTTATTTTCATTGTGTCCTTATGAAAATAAAAAATAGAAGATATACATGATTATTACTTTTGCAGAAGTATTGGTTTACTTTATAGGAGTTTTATTCAAAAAATATTGAACTCCTCAACTGTATTTATCCATTCTTAAAAGAATTTATTCATCAAACATTACCTGAATATCTATTAGGTAGCAGAAATATTCTACTATCTCTCAG
The DNA here is from genome assembly GCF_000001405.40 of Homo sapiens. Lineage (NCBI taxonomy): Eukaryota > Metazoa > Chordata > Mammalia > Primates > Hominidae > Homo > Homo sapiens. The sequence goes on along the minus strand of NC_000012.12, from coordinate 107,841,562 downwards.
AACTCTTCCATCCTGAAAAAATCACGTTTTCCAGCCCAGTCTGAGCAAACGGAGAGATTTAAAATTGGAGTATTAGGACTTCATTTCACTGAAGCTTTCCTTCCCTCCTTTCAAACAAAAGCATTTCTGGGTAGAAAATAGTAAACGACAACCTTAACTGCCCTTTTGAAAATGTATTAGTCTTAAATATTCATATAAATCATTGCAAGTATGTGATTTACATATATTGTATAAATCTAAGTATTGAATAAAATGAGTCATACTTGCTCATTTGAATCCCAAGTTTCCTTTGGCTTATAGTTTTTTTAGCAATCAAAGTAAGAAGTTGTTTTTAAAAATTTGTTGTTGTTATTTTAGCCCTCTTTCCTCATAGTATTTTAAGAACTAACTGGCCAGGCGTGGTGGCTCACGCCTGTCATCCTAGCACTTTGGGAGGCCAAGGTGGGTGGATCATGAGGTCAGGAGTTCGAGGTCAGGTGTTCGAGACCAGCCTGGCCAACATGGTGAAACCCCATCTCTACTAAAGATACAAAAAATTAGCCAGGCGTGGTGGCGCTTGCCTGTAGTCCCAGCTACTCGGGAGGCTGAGGCAGGAGAATCTCTTGAACCTGGAGGCGGAGGTTGCAGTGAGTCAATATCGTGCCATTGCACTCCAGCCTGGGTGACAGGGCAAGGTTCTGTCTAAAAAAAAAAAAAAAAAAAAAAAGAACTAACTTTTTGTTAAGTGCCAATCATGCCTAGAGCTGCCCTGGACCCTTTGAATAGACCACATTCTACTTCACGTAAGGCACAATGGATTGTGTGATGCTTCTTTATTTTATGCTTTTTAAGGAGTTTTTAAAAGTGGTAGTCCTGCCTTTGTATATGAAGGAAGTAAAGGGAAATGAAAATAGAAACTGAACCTCAAAAGAATCTGAGATTACACCAGTATTTGAGAAAGCCAGTTTACTAAGTGGTGGTCTGCTACAACTGAAGGATGACAGCAGTTTAAGTGAAATAGATGAGAAAGGAAGGTGACATCTGTAAGTTCTGTATTTCCCTCTGAAGGAGTGTTAGCAGTGATTCCTTTTTCTGGAAGTAGAATAGTGTAGTCAGCCAAAGCTAGGGAGAATACTCAGCTGTATCAATGTTGCTGAAAGATCAATTAAGATGAGGACTAGTGACTTTGACAAGGAGCAGTTTCAATAAATGTCACCGTGAAACCCTGGGTGAGTCACAGAGCATGACTTAGTTTTCACAACTTTTGAGAGAACTTTTACAGGGAAAGGCAACATTGAGGGACAGCCAAAGAAAAATGAGGGATTCAAGGGAATTTTCTGTTTGTAATTTTAAAATAGAAGCCTTTAGAGCATGTTTGTAGGCTGATGGGAATGATCCAGTGGAGAAGGACGTGTTTATCAAATTTAATTTTGTTTGCAAGTTAAACATTAGAAAGCTTGATGCATTATCTTTTAAAGACTTACAGGAAACTAATTGTCCTTAGCACTTTTATTCATTTATAGTTGTGTGTTAAGAGGTTGTTCCTTCAGAATTGGCCCAGGAATGGAATATTCTAGTCTAATTGAACCTGAAAATGATAACCTAAATATTAAACTCTCATAGTAGATTTTTTAAATGATGTGATATTAAACATACAAACACTTAGGCCACCCTGAATAGAATGTAAATATTCCTTGAGGATGTGTATATATTACAATACCTTTTACAGTAGTATTATGAATAGCTATGATTTAGTAAGGTACTTGAAAATATCAGGTGTATCAACGTCATAATGGTTTAGATTCTAGGGAGAAGGGGAGGATTTTGTTTCTGTACAATAGTAAGGCAAACTATTGACAATCTGTTGTGAATTATTACTTTCAGATTATAAAGTTCTAAAGTATCAAAATCATTTCCCTGGACCAAATGTGTCATCAACATGTATTGTGTGCCCATTAAGTATTTGTTGCATGATGAATAAACAGTTGAGTAAATGAATAAAATCCTGTTGCTCAAAGTCTTTAGAAAACATAAACTATAGTTGATTGAAAGTACATTTTAAAAATTGCCTGGGTATAAAGTATTTTTATTTAAAAAATGGTAAGATTCAGAAATTGTTATTTATAGTTATCGCCAGAAATGGGATGATAATATGAATTTATCTGCCACCATATCGCCTAAAAACACTTGAAAATAAATGTTACTTTCCCTTCACAGCAAAACACAGGTTTTGGAGCCAGAGTTTCTGAGTTTGAATGTTTGGTCTGCTACTGACCAACTCTATGGGCTTGGGTGAGTTACATGGCCTTTTTGTGCCTAGTTTCTTTTGTGTGTGTGTGCAGATGTCAAGTACCTAGTTTCTTCCTTTATAAAATTTCTAATATGTTACCTACCTCACAGAATTGTTGTGAGAATTAAAATGAGTTTAACACATGTACAGTGCTTAAAATAACACACAGTACTTGCATAGTAAGTCCTGAAAAGGCTAACTAATGGCATCATTAAAAAAAGGTTTTCCTCTTATAAGGGCATAGCAATATTTTGCAAATAGGTTTAAGTGCTGATAAAAACTTGTTTTTATTGAAAAGGGCAATAAAAATACCTGGTATATTTCTAGCAAATGATGCAAGTAACATTACGTTTGTCCTTTCACTTTGTTTGCCAGAAAGCTTGCTCTAAATTGAATTCTTCATTAGATGATTATTAGAATAGTGGTAAGAGAATATTTTCTTTGTCCCTAAAGCTACTCTTTCTTTTTATAGTTTAATCCCCTCTGTAAAAATTATTGTACTTTACATTACCTGCAAAAAATAGTAACTGCAAACTTTATGACCAGGAGAAACAAATTATAAAGCAGAGATTTTTATATTTAAAAAAACAATAGTTTTAGATATTCTTTATATTCTACATATTTACTATTTGCCTAAAAATTTTTTTTCTTTTAGGCCTGCAAAGAAAACATCAAAGAAGAAGGTATTGTAAAACATACACTATCAAAAATATTACTGTTGAAAATACATTATAAAACATAAAATGAAAAAACAAAAGTATTTTGCCATAAAGACATCTACTTTGAAAAACAATTAAGAAACAGTAGCCATTGATAATTATCCTTTTAACAAAACTCAGTTCTTTTAAGAAGTACCTATATTTTTGCTTATATAAAAATATGGCCAATTGCCACTTCTGTACACTTAGTATATGCAATAAATATTTGGGGGATGCTTTAAAACAGTATTATTTATTTTGTAGGTCAAAAACCAATTACATTCTAGGAGTGACCTTGATGACTTAACTCTGTAATCTGCAGCAACCTCAGAGGATCATGGGATGCATTATGCACGTCATGGAATGGATTGTAATGGTAGGACCATTACATAAATAGGCCTTTTTGTGCTTCCTACTGTAACGTATGCATGTATTGTTTAGCACTGATGTGTTATAGTGATGTTCATCTCAGAAATCTACCTTATGTTAAAATAGAATGAGAACTCTTACATATTGTACACTCTCAGCCAAAGACCTAGGGTTATTCCACTGTACTTTTCTCAGTGTGAATGGCACTCCCAGTGTTTCTGTTGAGTCTGCATCTCTCCTGTGCCTTCGTCCAGCTCAGGTTACCATGTCTCCCATCTGGAATATACTACAATAACCTTAGATGTGTTTTCCTTGCTAACCTGCCTCCTAAAACCATGGTCTACTCTGCCATCATAATCATATATTTTTAAAAATTCAGATCTAATTATATTACCACCTTGCTTAAAACTGAGCTATTCTCATTGCCAGAAGGTGAAAGATCTCAGTCCTCCCGCTTTACCCTGCATCATTTCATTTTCTTCTTTCTCTGTGTCCAGCCACTGTCTTAGATGTTTGTTCCTGTAATCCATAGCTTTAGTGAGGCATAATTAATAGATAATAAACTGAACAATATAAGATGTATGATTTGATAAGTTTTGAAATATATGCAAATATGAAATCATCACCGTAATCAAGGAAGTTAAGATATTCATCATCCACAGAAGTCTCATTGTGCCACTTTATGTTCTTTTATCAGGAAACTGCTGAATTATTTTCCAAAGTATATGTACCATTTTCTGTTTCTGCAGCTGTATATGACAATTCCAGTTGCTCTGTGTGTCATCACAAACACTTAGCATCAGCATTTATTTTATATTTTGAGTCATTCTGAAGGGTGTGTGTTGTGCACATCATTATGTTTTTCATGTTTGTTACCTGAATGACTAATAATATTAAGCTTCTTTTTATGTGTTTATTTGCCATCTGTATATCTTCTTTGCTGAATTGTCATTTCAAACATTTTGCTATTAAAAATCAGGTTTCTTTTTTCTTTTTTCTGTTTCTTTTAAACATTTCCTGAAAATTTTCAGTGTAACATCTATGAAATCAAAGGATGAAGAAGATCGTGCCCAGGTAATACCCACTCTCTTTGTCTTCTAAAGAAATGTTGCTTTCCTGATTTCCTCCCTTCTCAATTTAGATGTGAAAATCTAACAATACACATAATGTACAACATATACAATTCTCTTTGTGGGGGTGGTGTTCAGTGGGACTCTCCTCCCAACTGACACCTGATACCCTAAGACATTTTAAAATGACAGTATTCATTATCAAGTGTAATGTAGAGGCATTTTCCTCAGCATCAGTTTTCCTCCTTGGAGCTTTGAGTGTGCTGTGTTTGTGATCATCTTTTCTTGCTTTATTATTTAAAGTTGATTTTTCTGAGAACACCGGCTTTTTTCTGCCACTGCTACTGTAAAATAGCAATGCTTTTGGTTTGGATTAGTTAGCACCCCATGGGGATTCTGTGTGAGATGTTTTGGGTTGGGTGTTTTATGTTATCTGTGATGGAAGGAGTCTTCAGGACACAACTATCTCACCGGTGCTTCCTTAATCCTGGAGACAAAATTCTCCTACTGTATGCCCAAGTGTTTACCCTCACCCTATGAACTTTTAGGACTTGTAGCAGCACATTAATTTCTCTGTCCTTACTGTTTACTTCTGATTTAAAGAGCTCTCCTTGGGGGTGGATGACAGAATGAACATTTACTCTGGGCTCACTGGAAAAGCTCCAACGTCTTGGAAATTGAGTGGGTAAGCACAACCTTGAGCACATTGTCAGCATTCCATTTCTTTTTTGAATAAGAATATGCAGTTTTACCAATATCATTGGTTCAAGAGGCTTTCCTTTCCCAGTTGTGTATTCTTGGCACCTTTGTTGAAGATCACTTGACTGTGTATGTGTGCATTTAGTTCTGGGCTCTCTTTTCTCTCCCAGGGGTTCTAATGGGTGCCCTTATGCTAGGACCATGCTGTCTAAATTTCTGTGGCTTTGTTGTAAATTTGAATCTTATGAATGTCTGTCCTCCAACACTATTCTTTTTCATGTTATCATGGCTATTTGAGGCCATGGGAAAATTCATAAAAATAATTTTAGGATTAGCTTTTCCATTTCTGCACACATGGCCATTACCAGTTCGATAATAGTTGTTTTGAGTCTGTAGATCATTTGTGTAATATTGTGTATTAGTAAGATTTAGACTTCCTATCCATGAATACAGGATGCCTTTTCACTTATTTTTACCTTCTTTGCTTTCTTTCAGTAGTCTTTCTTTCTAATCACTCTACAAGTATTTCACCTCCTTGGTTAGGTTTATTCCTAAGTATTTAGTTATTTTAGATGTTATTATAAGTGGGATTACATTTGTCATCTTCTTGTTGGATCATTCACTGTTGGTTTGTATTAACAAACCAATCATTTGAATATTGGCCTTGTACCCTGCAACTTTGATGTAATTATTAACACTAATAGCATTCTTGGAGATTATTTCTGATTTTCTATATGTAGAATGATAGAGAAGTTCTGTTTCACACCTATTTTCTCAAGATAGTCTATATTGATACTGTAAAGATATGTTCATATTCACCTACTGAATGATGTCCTTCCAAAAGGCCTTGTTAGATTATTCAAAAAATATTTTGTCATTACATTCCACAATTTAATAAAAAATAGTAATTCATTGTCCATAATGTTGTCTTTTTCTCCATTTAGTAAAATGCAGTATTTCTCATTACATTCTGCACACCTAACTTTCCTGTTAGATATTATCTGGAAGAATACAGAATCTATTTTCCTTCTGTTTTAAGATCATCAATGACCCTTTAAATTCTCGATTTCATTAATCTGAAGTGAATCTGAAATGCAGAAATGTGAAGGAAGGCATTTCACACAGAAAAGAATTCTAACATTTCTTGTAACAAATTGGTGCAAAAGTAATTGTGGTTTTTTGCCTTTACTTTTAATAACACAGCTTCCTTCTCTTCTTCAGCCTGAAATGTGTATTTAGTTTACCATATTGGAGAGCATGTTGCTTCTTCTCATATCACAAGTTTTTCCAAATATATCATAACTTCTGTGTCTAAGTCAGTTTATCTACCAAAACATATAAATTTTAAATATATTTTTGTGGATTTTACAAAATTTTCTCTTTACAGAGCTATTAATTATATACTTTCACCCAACCTATGATCTCCAGGTATAAGGAATGCACAAATTAGTTTTCCTGTGACAGCATGCAGAGCACTTTTCCAAGGTGAGGCTATGGGCATCTCCACAACTGGGAAACAGGCTCAGTTTGAGCCACTTCTATTTAGGAGGAGTAAATCATACAGGATGATATTATGTCATATTTTTAGAACACCAAGATGTTATAGAAGACAATTCATCTCCCCAGGTAAACTGGTGTTCATCTTATTTGACCAGGTATTTGTTGATCTTTGGTCAGGTAACTCATTCATTTTGTAGAAAATATAATTTTTAAAAAATTGTAAGTAGTCACTGTGTAGAATCAGGATGTCACCAAAAGCATTTTTGATACCTGTGTCTGATTCCTTCAACATCAGGTTGGGGTTAAGTTAAAGTGGTTATTTTGGTACAAAGCAGCTATGTGTCATGGCATTAGCCCTGACTTGGAAGCTTATCTCCTGGGTTTGAGTGCCCCTCTGGAACTTGCTAAGCTGCGAGATACCAAGCAAGTTGATACATCTCTACTTTCTTCAAGATATACAATACACATTTTATTTAATTAACCCATTCAACCCTCACGGCAGCCCTCACCTGAGTTGTGGTTGTTCACTATCTGTACTCCTCAGATGAAGAAACTAAGGTGCTAAATGCATATGCCCAAGCATACAAGCCCCTAAGGAAAGGAGGTAACATATGCCTAGGCATGTGGCCCTGGTGTTAATACAATCAATTATTGAACTGCAGTTATCACCCCAAAAAGGGTGGCTCACAACCCTGCCATCAGTTGTAACCATAAGGTGATTCCCTTACCCATGCCAGTCCTAGGTTTACATGGGTCTACAGAAATCCCAAACATCGTCTACAAGGTGGCTACAGTAGTCACAGAGCTTAGGGAAAACATCAGCATTTGAAACTGCAAGATTTAACATAGCCATTGGTGATAAAAGGACATAGAAGGCCCGTATACCTCTGATACTAGGGACAAATACAAGTTTCTGAATATTAGGAAGCAGCACTTAGAAATATTCATAAACACTTTGGGATGCCCAGGCGGGTGGCTCACGAGGTCAAGAGATTGAGACCATCCTGGCCAACATGGTGAAATCCTATCTCTACTAAAAATACAAAAATTAGCTGGGTCTGGTGGCATGTGCCTGTAGTCCCAGCTACTCCAGAGGCTGAGACAGGAGAATCACTTGAACCCAGGAGGCGGAGGCTGCAGTGAGCCAAGATCGCACCACTGCACTCCAGCCCGGTGACAGAGCAAGACTCTGTCTCAAAAGAAAAAAAAATAGCAGTTTAAAAATAATGTTATAGTTGATAGAATTTGTGAGGAGGGATGTGTAAGGGACATGTAAGGATTTCAATTGTTTTGGGACTTTGTGACTATTTACATAGATACATCACACAAGGAGCTTTAGAACACACTTTACAAGTTATAAACATAACCAATAGACAAATGGAAAATAATGATGATGGAGCTAATAAGAGTTTTATGGTAGAGACAAGTGGGAGAATTTTGTGATAAATAGTTGACTTTTTAAAATTATGAATACAGAAAGATGAATTTTAAGCATGTTATTTAGAATCTTAGGAAGTACCAGAACAACTAATAACAGAAACAAAAACTGTGCCTATAGCCGAGTGGGTGTGGTAGGAGCTCTTTTCTGTATTATCTTGCTCTTCTTTAAATTTTGAATTCTTTGCACCACACAATAAATGAACGTACCTTGTATTATTGTAAATATTCCCCCATCACTAACATATTTGTGTTTGGTTTCTGTTCAGCCCCGTCACCTGTCCTTAGTTCCTCTGAACTATACAGAGGAACAAATCAATATAAATGCAGAAGAGAAAAGATGAGATCAGCTGATTTTGGTGTTGATATGGGTAATATCTGATTTACATTCAGTTTTCATGTGGGATCTCTGTGCCTGGCTTGGTTTAATGATTCAAAGTGACAATACAGTCAACTTCTGAGAAAATGATCTATGGAAAATTGAAAGTTTAAAATATTTTCTTCCTCCTAACTTTGAAGAGGACTTGTTTCATATCAAATCTGCCTGTTCATCTGCCTGTCCGTCCACTCACTGTTTATCCATGGATCTTGGTGTTAGCTTCTGAGGTGGTAATGAATTCAAAACCCTTCTGTTCCTACTCTCATATTAAAGGTTCAAAAATCAACCTTGATTGCAATGAAGCACTAAGCCCACAACCACAACTCAGGTGAGGGCTGCCTTGAGGGTTGAATGGGTTAATTAAATAAAATGTGTATTATATATCTCGAAGAAAGTAGAGGTATATCAACTTGCTTGGTATCTCACAGCTTAGCAAGTTCCAGAGGGGCACTCAAACCCAGGAGATAAGCTTCCAAGTCAGGGCTAATGCCATGACACCCATGATTTATGGGTGGATTGGTGGCAGGACAAGATAGAAAGGAACCAGCGGTGGCTCAGGGTTTTGACCTGAGCAACCAGGGAGAGGAGGTGTCGTGTAGACAGATAGGAAAGACACAATTCTTTGAACACATTTGGGACTCAGATAGTCAAGGCAGCAAGGATGAAGATGGTTTGTCTCATCACCCGTCTTCCAGGTGACTCTGGTGGGCTCCCTCTTTGAAAGGGTGCCTTCTGGGGGCTGACTTTCAGGCTAGCGGTTGGCTTCTTTTGACTGGGGGTCAAGTGGGCCTCCAGACACCCTGAGCTGCATGGAGAACAGCAAGGGCCTTTTGCTCATCTGCAGTGTACAGCACTGCCTCTACTTCATCTTGATGCTGCTCCTGGTCAGTCTTCTCGGCACGCTGGGGACCTCCTTACTCACAGACCCAATTCCTGTTAAACAAGTTAAGTGCTGCCAGGTAGGGTGCTCTGGGGTGGACCCTGCAGTTCTAGGGAGTCACTGAAGAATAGGGAAATTCCTGCATTGTCTTTGGAAAGGGGAGGGTTTGGGGGAGCATTGGGGTGGGCAGAAACAGGCAGGTACATTTTAAAGGGCTCAGCAGAGTGAAACAAAGCTGAACTCAACCAGATGTCCTGCAGCGATTTGCCAGGTATTCCTTTAGATCGAGAAGTTTGGCTTTTAAAATGCAAATTTTCCTTGGAAGTTTTAAATCCACCAACCTTAGTATGAATTAATGCAATCAGGGCACTCCCAGCTGTTACCCACCCAGGGGGAATGAAGCCAATGGACATTCAGCCCCCACTGTAGTGCAGTAGGTGAGAGCATGGCAGGCTCTGGAGCAGACTGCCAGGATGCCGATCCTAGCCTTGCCCTTACTAGTGTGTGTGATCCCGGATGAATATTTAACTTTTCTGTGGCTCAGTTAAATGGATGTAATAATATCTACCTCAAAGATCAGTTATGAGGATTAAATGAGTTAATCAATGTAAAGCACTTAGAACAGTGTTTCGCATATGTACGCCTCATCTTAGTATTAGCTGCTGTTATTGTTACTATTAATAAACAATCCTTGAAGAGCAAGAACCGAATTATCTGTGCCCCACAATACCCAGCATCACTCCATTACTATGACAGACCTGCCACATGTATTTCTTGGATGGGTTACTCAATGGATCTCTTTGCCACTTCTACATTTTTCTTCTTCTACTTTGTTTTATAGCAGAGGAGGGGCAGAATTTAGGTGGAGTTCATTGCTCAGCTGGACTGAAAAAGCTGAACTGGAATAACTTTCAGTGAACATGGGCAGTGGGTAAACATTGGGAATTTGCAGACTTTCAAATGAGTCCTCTCTCGAGCACACATCCTCTAAGTTAGTAGCAACACCATTAACTCTTTGAAGACTAGGAAGGCACAGTCTTATTGTCTCTGTATCCTTAGTCCCCAGCACAGGGGTTCGTAGAAGAGGAATGACTGAATCTTCAGGTGTCTGTGGGCTGCCAGGAGGACACTTGGCCAAGAACTATGTCTCATCTTGCTTTCTGAGACCTCTTCCCCTCTTTTACACTTGTTCCTGTCTTTTGAATACCAGGAAGCCCAGGTTGCCTTCTGACCTTCAGAGGCCCTCACACCACCTATTCCGGGGGCTCCAGTACCATCTTTCCCTGTAAATGAGGCAGCACAGACTTTGAATTTAGGCAAACCTGGGTTCAAGTTTCAGCTTCACTGGTATCTTGCTACACTCATAACCGTAGACAATTTTACTTATTTTTGTTAAGTCTCAGTATCTTCATCTGCAAAATGTGGATAATAGTAACTATCTCATGGAATTGTCATGAGGGAGTTTCTTAAATGTAGTTATGTACAGAACTCTTTTAAAGGAACTCCTAAAATCTCAATGTTTATCCAAATGAGTTTTTCAATAATGCTACTTGGATACATGCAAATATAATGTTCTATAATATTTAGCTATAAATTCAATGTTTTTATACAACCTAAACAAAATTACAAACTAAATACAAATAAAACTATAACATTAATAAAATACAAATTAACAATTTTAATGTAACAGATAATGTTTTGCTGAAATTAAACGTTGCTGATGTTGAGTTTAATTGGGTGTTAAATGTTTTACTTGTCAACTTGAGTCTTGATTTTCATATGAGACATCATGATTGCCTTATTATTTGTCCTTTTAAACAATATATTTTTAACTACTAGTCCATTATTTTAATGGGTCAATTGATTTATAGTGTGTCCCCCACACAAACACACACAAATTTTAAATGTTCCTTACTACAAAAGTCTTTTCTTTTCTTTTTTTTTTTTTTTTTGAGACAGCATGCTGCTCTGTGGCCCAGTCTGGATTGCAGTGGTGCAATCATGGCTCACTGCACCCTCAAACTCCTTGGCTCAAGGGATCCTCCTGTCTTTACATATGTTTATTGTGGCACTATTCACAATAGCAAAGACTTGGAACCAACCCAAATGTCCAACAAAGATAGACTGGATTAAGAAAGTGTGGCACATATACACCATAGAATACTATGCAGCCATAAAAAAGGATGAGTTCATGTCCTTTGTATGGACATGGATGAAGCTGGAAACCATCATTCTGACCAAACTATCACAAAGGCAGAAAACCAAACACTGCATGTTCTCACTCATAGGTGGGAATTGAACAATGAGAACACCTGGACACAGGGTGGGGAACATCACACACTGGGGCCTGTCGTGGGGTGGGGGGAGGGGGGAGGGATAGCATTAGGAGATCTATCTAATGTAAATGAAAGTTAATGTGTGCAGCACACCAACATGACACATGTATACACATGTAACAGACCTGCATGTTGTGCACATGTCCCCTAGAACTTAAAGTATAAAAAAATAAAAAATAAAAAGGTGAAGGAGAGGAAGCAGGAGGAAACCGCCAAGCAGACGCTGAGGCCAAACTTGCTGCCAGGCGGGACTTTCCTCCAGAAATACCCATGGAAGGACCCCTGGTATGGAGCAACCCCCTCCAGGAAGTTAAGCCCCAGTATTCCCCAACTGAACCAGAATTGGGGACTTTCACAAGGACATAGTTTTCTCCCCTCAGGGTGGCTAACAACAGAGGAAGGAAGGGTGGTCATACCTGAAGCCAGCCAGTGAAAATACTTAAAACTCTCCACCAAACTTTTCATGTGGGTATTGAAAGTACCCATAAGATGGCCACATCCCTATTTATGGGGTCAAACCTCTCAAAACCATCCGGCAAGTAATGAAAGCCTGTGAAGTGTGCCAGAAGTATAACCCCTTAGCCCATCATAAGGCCTCTCCAGGCAGACAAAGAACAGGACATTATCCTGGAGAGGACTGGCAGTTAGATTTTACCCATATGCCAAAGTCAGGAGGATTTCAGTACTTACTGGTCTGTGTTGATACCTTTACAAATTGGGTGGAAGCCTTCCCTTGTAGAACAGAAAAGACCCAAGAGGTGGTTAAAGTCTTAGTTCATGAAATAATTCCTAGATTTGGACTTCCCCAAAGCTTACAGAGTGACAATGGACCAGCTTTTTTTTTTTTTTTTTTTGAGACGGAGTCTCGCTCTGTCGCCCAGGCCGGATTGCGGACTGCAGTGGCGCAATCTCGGCTCACTGCAAGCTCCGCTTCCCGGGTTCACGCCATTCTCCTGCCTCAGCCTCCCGAGTAGCTGGGACTACAGGCGCCCGCCACCACGCCCGGCTAATTTTTTGTATTTTTAGTAGAGACGGGGTTTCACCTTGTTAGCCAGGATGGTCTCGATCTCCTGACCTCATGATCCACCCGCCTCGGCCTCCCAAAGTGCTGGGATTACAGGCGTGAGCCACCGCGCCCGGCCTGGACCAGCTTTTAAAGCTACAATAACTCAAGGAATTTCCAAGGCACTAGGAATACAATATCACATTCACTGTGCTTGAAGGCCACAATCCTCAGGAAAAGTCAAAAAGGCTAATGAAACACTTAAGAGGCATTTGAGAAAGCTAACACAAGAAACTCATCTCCCATGGCCCACTTTCTTGCCCATGGCCTTATTAAGAATTCGAAACTCCCCTCACAGAATGGGGCCCAGTCCATATGAAATGCTATATGGATGGCCTTTTCTCACAAATGACCTCCTGCTTGATCAGGAAATGGCCAATTTAGTCAAAGATATAACTTCTCTGGCAAAATATCAACAGAATCTTAAAACTTTACTTGAAAAGTGTGACAGGGAAAAAGGAATAGAGTTGTTTCAATCAGATCTAGTATTGGCCAAGTCTCTCCTGTCTACGTCTCCATCTATGGATCCTTATGGGAAGGACCATACTCAGTAATCCTCTCTACCCCCACTGCAGTTAAAGTAGTAGGAGTGGAATCCTGGATTCACCACACCTGAGTCAAACCTTGGACACCTCCTGAGGAACTTGTAGGATCATCACCTCAGGAGTCACGAAGTCAGCCAGACCAGCCTCGATACACCTGTCAGCCACCAGAGGATCTGCATCTCATATTTCGGAAAGAAAAACCTCTGAGCAGAAAAACTCCTGCAGTTAATCCTGAAAAGGAACTTTTTTCTACCTAAAGGAGGATAAGTAGAAAACCTACTGATCTTTGACATCTCCCCTTGCTCTCTTTAATGGAATCCTTCTACTGCTTCATTACATTATTAAGCAGTACAGTAACTACACTTTTTGCAGTAGGATTATATACTGTAGCTCCAGCCGAGACAAAAATCTTAATCACATCAGGTTATCACATCAACCCTTCTTCTATCGTCCTTCCTTCTAACAGCAATTTACTCCTTTTTCCCTCCTCTTTCCTACGACCATTCCACCTACAACACGTCTTGACTCCTTTTACGTTTCCTGCCATCCTCTTCGTACTTATGTCCCTTTCTCCAACTGCAACACACCCCCCATGTCAGTGTGCCTCCCTTGGGGGAGTCAACCAGCATTCCCTCAGAAACTCTTGGGGATTAGGTAGCCCCTTCCAAGCACCCACATCTTTTGCCGTGTATACTTACATGAGAACAAAATGTTGTAAAACTGCTTCTCTCTGTTCTCACAATGGCCGTACATATCGCCAAGGAAAAATGATCTGATCTGACTGCCCTGAGAAATGGGGGGCCAATGCTTGTTGGACATATTATACCCATATAGGTATGTCTGACTGAGGGGGCCTCCAAGATGAGGCTAAAGAATGGCATATCCAACAAGATATTTGTGGGGAAAAGAAAGAGAGATCATACTGTTACTGTGTCTATGTAGAAAGAAGTAGACATAAGAGACTCCATTTTGTTCTGTACTAAGAAAAATTCTTCTGCTTTGAGATGCTGTTAATCTGTAACCTTACCTTTAACTTTGTGCTCGCAGAGACATGTGCTGTGTTGACTTAAGGTTCAATAGATTTAAGGCCATGCAGGATGTGCTTTGTTAAACAAATGCTTGAAGGCAGTATGCTTGTTAAAAGTCATCACCACTCTTTAATCTCGAGTACTTAAGGACACAATACACTGCGGAAGGCCACAGGGACCTCTGCCTAGGAAAGCTAGGTATTGTCTAAGGTTTCTTCTCATGTGATAGTCTGAGATATGGCCTCATAGGAAGGGAAAGACCTGACCATCCCCCAGCCTGACACCTGTAAAAGGTCTGTGCTGAGGAGGATTAGTAAAGGAGGAAAGCCTCTTTGCAGTTGAGATAAGAGGAAGGCATCTGTCTCCTGCTGGTCCCTAGGAAATGGAATGTCTCTGTGTAAAACTCGATTGTATGTTCCCTCTACTGAGGTAAGAGAAAACCACCTTAAGGCTGGAGGTGAGATATGCTGGCAGCAATACTGCTCTTTAATGCACCAAAGATGTTTATGTATGTGCACATCAAAGCACAGCACCTTTTCTAACCTTGTTTATAACACAGAGACATTTGTTCACATGTTTTCCTGCTGACCCTCTCCCCACTATTACCCTATTGTCCTGCCACATCCCCGTTTCTGAGATGGTAGAGATAATGATCAATAAATACTGAGGAAACTCAGAGACCAGTGCCGGTGCAGGTCCTCCATATGCTAAGCGCCAGTCCCCTAGGCCCACATTTCTTTCTCTATACTTTGTCTCTGTGTCTCTTTCTTTTCTCGGTCTCTCATCCCACCCAATGAGAAACACCCACAGGTGTGGAGAGGCAGGCAACCCCTTCATCTGGCACCCAACGTGGGGCTTTTCTCTAAGGTGAAGGTACGCTCGAGTGTAGTCATTGAGGACAAGTCAACGAGAGATTCCTGAATACATCTACAGTCAGCCTTGCGGTAAGCTTGTGTGATCAGAAGGACCTAAGGTAGCAATAGAGCAAACTAAAAGTAAATATGCCTCTTATCTCAGCTCTATTAAAATTCTTTGAAAAAGAGGGGGAGTTAGAGTCTCTACAAAAAATCTAATCATGCTATTTCAAACAATAGAAGAAAATAGTCTCTTATGTCTACTTCTTTCTACATAGACACAGCAATAGTCTGATCTCTCTTTCTTTTCCCCCACAAAATTAAAAACTTAGTCCAGCCCTCCAGTACTCCCAGTCCATACAAGAAATTAGACCTTTCCAGGCTACAGGAAGCCCTTAACTCTCATTCTCATCTCTGGAGCCTCTTTAACACCACCCTTACAGGAATACAAGAAGCCTCTCCTGGTAATCCAACCAACTGCTGGATGTGTCTCCCCTTGCATTTTCAATGTATGTCCCAGTCCCTGTCCCTGGACAGTGGAACTTATCCACCCCAGTACTAAACATCACCAAATCAATCAGTCCCATAGTCACCAATTTACCAGCCACACAGGCCTCAAATCTCACGTGCATAAACTTCAGCATGGCTGTCAATAAGAACACCTTCTGATGTCAGTCCTGTATATCAGTAACCCCAGGTTTCACCTAACTTCAGGCATTTTTTTTTCATCTGTGATTACACAGGGTATTGATGCCTAAACAGCACTCTGAAAGAACTATGCTTTCACTCCTTTCTAGCACCTCCCATGTCCATATATACTGAACGAGAGTTACAAAGTCTCCTTATACCCCAATCTCGCCACACATGAGCCTTTATTGTAGGGAAGTAGGTGGTTTTCTGATAGCCATAAACTTCCTTTGGCACCTCGTATGCCATTTACATCATGAGTAGTCCAGACAGTGAGATCCTTTCCTTGTATTATTTTGATAGCCTCTGACACTAAGACAACCACCGCCGCAACTACCCTTAAACAGTGAGGCCAGCCTTTTGCTACTACATCAATTTCCTTACTTAGGTATGCCACTGGTTGTGGGGTTGTCCCACGAGTCTGAGTAAGGACTCCAAGAGCTAACCCTGCTCTCTCTGTGACGTATAAAGAGAAATTTTGTCCTGTGGGAAGGCTTAAAGCTGGAGCTTGTACTAGGGCCTGCTTTAAGGATTTGAAGGCTGTTTCTGCCCCTGGTTCCCATTCTACTAGATGAGTATTTGCCCCCTGGGTATCCTTGATTAGAGTATAGAGTGGTCTGGCCCTCTCACTACATCCTGGGATCCATAGTTGGCAAAAGCCAGTGATTCCAAGGAACCCCCACAACAGTTTTAATGTCTTAGGGCAAGGATAAGCCAGTATAGGCTATATTCATTCCTTGCTGAGGGTCCTGGTTCCTCTGGCTAAGATTAGGCCTAGATATTTGACCTGCTGTAGGCAAAGCTGGGCCTTCAACCTAGACGACTTGTACCCTTGATTAGCTAGAAAGTTCAAGAGATCTAGAGCAGCCTGCTGGCCTGAGGCTTCTGAAGTTGTAGCCAAAAGCAAATCATCCACATACTGAAGGACCAGAGTGCCTGGACTTGAGAGTGGCCTAGATCTTGGGCCAGTACCTGACCAAACAGATGAAAGCTATCCCTAAACCACTGGGGCAAGACTGTCCATGTAAGTTGGGATATGTAGCCTGTGGGATCCTCAAAAGCAAAGAGAAACTGGGAGTCAGAGTGCAGGGAAATACAGAAGAAGGCATCCTTGAAGTCCAGAACAATGAACCATTCTGCTTCCTCTTGGCCCCTATTATAGAACACCAAGGTTGCCAGGTTTAATAATGCCTCCAGATTTTGTTCAGGGCCCAGGGCTAGCTTTTGGGGCTTTCTCCTGATATCTGCGGCTGATTCGGTAATAAACTTATCTTTTAGGATCAGTTGACCCTTGAGTGAGTCGGGTGACAGGGGAGTATATTTTCTTAAGGCCTCCTTTGCCACTCAAGGAAGGCAGAAGGATTTTCTTCCTTTCCCTGAGTTATGGTGGACATCATTGAATAATTCATGGGCTTTTTCCTAATTCTCCTTAGTCCTTCTAGAACACAGGTCAGCAAATGTTTACGACTCCAGTCCCCATGATCTGAGTCTAGGTCCCAGTGGGGATCCACGCTGGAGATGGCTTGCTGACTGGTAGGGAATTGTCCCTTTCTTTAGCTCTTATTCTATCATTTACTTGACTAAGATACCAGGATGTCCAAACTCTCAGGCTGCAGCTAAAACCACATTCTTTTCATTAAAGGCCAGGATTTGATCTTAACAATAGCATGATATCTCTCCAAGTGAGATCGAAGGTTTGCCCTAGACCCTGTAGGACATCTGTGTACCTATCAGGATCACCTGAAAACTCCCCCAGGTCTGCCTTGATCTGCTTTAAATCAGAGAGGGAGAAGGGGACATGTACCCAGGTTGGGCCAAATTTCCCTCCCCCTACAGCTTGATGGGAACATAACTGATAGCCCGGGGGGTTTTGTGGTCCTTTGGAGATTTCTTTGCTTGTTTCCTTCTGGGCCGGGGAGATTAGAGGAGGCTTATCATTAATAGGAAGGGGAGCTATAGAGGGCTAGGATATGGGGGTAAGCTGAGAGGTCCTTCTGTGGGATGTAAATTGCAAGCTTTGCATAGTTGTGGATTCTCCTTCAATGAAAAGAAAGCTTGGACATAAGATATTTCACTTCTTTTGCCTTCTCTCTTACAGCAAAAGGTCAAGCTGCAGGATAGTATTGTAATTTATACTTCCCTCAGGTGGCCATTTTCCCCCATCAAAGAGAGAATACTGGGGCCAAGCCACAGTGCAGAAAAAAATGAGCCACCTCTTTTTCAGGGTTTGCAGGTCAAATTGGTCCCAATGGCTTAGGATGCATTTCAAGGGTGAGCCTGTTGATGCCTGGGTGTTTCCCATCTGAAAGGCAAAATCGCCCACAGTTTTGGTTTGTTTGTTTTGCCCCCTGCCCAAGAACCCACAACGGTCCCTGGACCCTGCTGATGAAAATAGTTGCGCTCACTGACGCAGCAGCAGAAATACCTCTTGCCCGAGAACCTGCAACGGTCCCTGGACCCTGCTGATCGGAATAGTTGCTCTTACTGACGCAGCAGCAGAAACACTAGTTTTCCTCCTAGACCACAAGGAGGACCGAGGAATGTTGTATTTAGTGGCCCTTACCGATGCATTCTCGAAAACCTGCACCTTTGCCTGTCCTCCTAGACCACAGAGAGGACTGAGAAAAATCAGATTTATTGGCCCTTACCGACACATTCTCGAAAACCTGTTAGAGTCCTAAGCATTCTTCTATTAGTATTGGGACTTTACTCGTGTCCTATAAAGATGTTATGCCCCAAAAATGAAGTGAAGGGCCATACCCTGAGGGAGGGAAGGGATATCCAGGGTTGGAAGAGTAACGCCTTTTGTCCTCACTTGAATAGGAAGGATATCATTTCTGAAGCTCCCCATATCCTAGCTTCAGGAATAGCTTTTGTTAGGCCTGCTGGTCTGAGAAGGGATCCTAAAATTCCAGATAGTCCCCTGCCCGACGGGGCTTTGGGCAAAAATTATGTCTTTCTGATTGGTGAGTCTGGGTGCCTAAAGAAGGTAACACAGTCCTGAAATTTATACTAGAAATCATTCTTATAGGAGGAACTAGGAAAGCACCAGAGACAGGGAGTGGTTTTTAGAAGCAGGACTAGTCTCAGAGAAAAGAGGCGAGAGGAAGTTTGTCTGACAGGCGCTAGGACCCAGGAGGCAAGGGTCAGGATAAATAGGATAGATGGGCGAGTCTCGCTTGGGCGACAAGGCTTTGAGAGTTCTGCTCATGGCTGCAGGGTCAACCAACTTGTTTTCGGGACCCTGGAGCTGAATGACTTCCCTCTCTGTTGATGCTCGGCTCAGCCCAGAAGTACATGAAAAGTGGAAGCTGGTTCTAGGCAAACCAATGCTGCCAGCTCTGAAGAGTCAGGGGTTGTTAGCCCTTTCCCAGAAAGCTTGACACCCGTGTCTGTAGTCCAGTGGCCACACTAGTCGCTTTCAACTGGCTGACAGGTGCAGGTATTTAGCCCCCAAATTCTAAGGAAAAATAGGACAGAATAGCAAGCGAAAGGGGTCTGATGGTACTCACTGCTTGGAGATAGGCGATAACCCCTTCGTGGTTGCCAAAATGTGTCCGGAATTGGTTCCTTCTGGTGGGTTCTTGGACTCACTGACTTCAAGCATGAAGCCACAGACCCTTGAGGTGAGTGTTACAGCTCTTAAAGATGGTGTGTCTGGAGTTTGTTCCTTCAGATGTTCAGATGTGTCCAGAGTTTCTTCCTTCCAGTGGGTTCGTGGTCTCACTGACTTCAGGAGAGAAGCCGCAGACCTTTGCAGTGAGTGTTACAGCTCTTAAAGGTAGTGCATCCAGAGTTGTTTGTTCCTCCCGGTGGGTTTGTGGTCTCGCTGACTTCAGGAATGAAGTTGCAGACCCTCACATCATATAAAAAGGTAAATTCTAGGTGGTCTAGAGATATAAATATTGAAAAAAAAACATAAGAAATGTTAAAAGAAAATTTAGAATAATATTTGTACCATCTTACAGTGGCGGGAAACATTGCTAAGCAAGCCAGGAAATCTAGGAGATAGAAGAAAAAGAGAGCTGGCTTTTTAAAATGAACAAAAATGTGGCCAGGCGTGGTGGCTCACGCCTGTAATCCCAGCACTTTGGGAGGCTGAGTGGGGCAGATCACCTGAAATCAGGAGTTTAAGACCAGCCTGGCCAACATGCTGAAACTCTGTCTCTACTAAAAATACAAAAATTAGCCAGGCATGGTAGTGCATGCCTGTAATCCCAGCTACTTGAAAGGTGGAGGCAGGAGAATCACTTGAACTGGGGAGGTGGAGGTTGCAGTGAGCCGAGACTGCGCCAATTCACTACAGCCTGGGCAACAAGAGTGAAACTCTGTCTCAAAAAAAAAAAAAAAAAGTGAACACAAATTCAAATGACAAAAGGACACCAATAACAGAGTCTAGACCAGTGGTTCTCCACCAGGGTGATGTTGTCCCATTCCCCAAGGGGACATACGGCAACCTGGAAATGTTTGGTTGTCACAACTGGGTAGGGGTCAGGGTTACTTATAAGCATCCTATAATGCCCAGAGACCCCTCACTACAAGGAATTATAATGCTGAGGTTGAGAAAAGCTGGTCTAGACAAGTGGTAGTTTCGGAAAACCACATTAGCCATCCATGAATCAGATCAGACAGCTCTAAGTTCAAATTTGAACCCCATCACTCCCTAGCTGTTACTTAACCTCTTTAACCCTCAGGTCAGATGACAGTATTATTCACAGCACAGTGTCTGAGGGTAGGATGTTTGTGAGCGCTTGCATAAGCGCTCACATTTAATCCTGGGTAGTTGTGGATATTATGGCCACCATTGTGATGATCCTAACAAGGACTCCTTATGAAACAGCAATCAGGTTCCAGGCAGCCAAGCTGTGTGTTCGTTATTGGGTTTGGGAGATGTAAGGGGTAATGGTCAAGAACGTCTTTACTGCTGAGGACCTGCACCGACTCTGGCTGGAAGTGTAGGGAGCAGGTAGGCAAGGGGAGGATGGAGAGGGCCCCAGGACACCAGGTGGGGGCCAGGTACTGGCAGGGGGGTGTCAAGCCCATCCCAGTATCATTATCAATTAATATTATGAAAAGTTTCCATTTCTATATAAATTCTTATACTGGCTAGCTAGGTCACAAGTAAGCTTTTTCTTTCTTTGGTTCTTATGTAGCTCATTCATAGATAGTACATATTAATGAGAAAATGTAAGCACAGACTGCCAGGTAAAAAATGTATTACCATCTATTTCTTTCAGTAATCATAGCTAGCGCTTATATAGCTTTTGTTTTATTTCCATAAAATGATGCTTCATAGAACTTGCACATATATACTGAATGATTTTAGCAACTATATCCATCAATTATGTTTTTCATAGAGTCTGCTGTCAAAATTGAGCACAATATTTTAGAATATGTATCATGGAGCAGACTAAAGCAATAAAGGGAAACATCAGTCTATTGCTTTAAAATCCCATTAAATCCAGAATTTTGACTTAACATAGCCGGATTACTGTCCATCATGATAAAACTATTTTTTTTACATTTAACTGGAATTGTTATTTGATAAATGTAAAAGATTAAAAATATCTATGTCACAGGTTTGATCTTCTAGGCTAAAAATTGGCAACATTTCTTTATAGGTCTGGATGTCCTTTGAGATAAAATGTATTTTAAATTATTATTGAACAGTGTCTCATGTCACATGACTCAACTAAAACTAAAGAAAGTTACTTGCCAATTTTCAAATTTGGAATCCATTAATTTTTCATCAGAAAGGCGTTGTATTTTCACTCTGTCACCCAGGCTGGAGTGCAGTGATGTGATCACGACTCACTGAAGCCTTGACCTCCAGGGCCCAAGCAATCCTCCCTTCTCAGCCTCCCAAATGCCTGGGACCACAGGCATGCCCCACCACCTGGCTAATTTTTTTTTTTAATTTTTGTAGAGATGAGGTCTCTCTATGTTACCTAGGCTGGTCTTGAGCTACTGGCCTCAAGTAATCCTCTTGCCTGGGCCTCCCACAGTGCTGGGATTATAAGTATGAGCCACTGTACCTGGCCACTTGCATTATTTCTGTGAGAAATTTGCTGTCATTTTTACCTTTGTTCTTCTGTATAAGCTGTAATTTTTTTTTTCTTCTGGCCACTTAAAATTTTCTCTTAGATGAGTTGGTTGGAGAAATTTGATGATTATGATGTGCCTCAGTATGGTTTTTTTCATGTTTTTGTGATTATGGTTTGTTGAACTTTTCTCCATCTCCCACTTATCTTTGGAAGAAGATATTTTTATTTGAGTTTGGGTTTTAAGTCAATTATAGCAACAGTTGAGAGATGACCCTTTTTCCTATACCATCTTTTGATACTGAGATATTTGTCAATCAGGGTGGTATCAGGAGATGAACCACACCAGTAATTTAAACAGGAAACATTTCAGGGTTGTTAAACCGTAAAGAGTAGTTAGCTCATGAAAAGGATAAAAAAAGACTGTTAAGCCTTTCACGAGTAGCAGATTCAGAAAGCAGCTACTGACTCATGCTGAGGGAAGCCAGCCAGCGAAGGAACTAAGAGCTTGGGAATGAGACTCCAGGCAAGGCTGAAATTCAGACTTTCCCAAAAGACCTCGACTCTGCTGTGACCTCCAGCCTGCCAGTGGCCAAGATGCTTGCCAGAGTGTGTGAGCCGGCGCTGGTCCACAGAAGGGTCTGTCATTGCCCAGGGGCATGTAGGTGGGCTGAAACAGTTCGGTAGGATCAGCTCCAAGGTGGGGAGTCAGTTGCCTGAGGATGCAGCAGGACCTCATCTGTAGAAGTGTCAGCCAGGGAATTTATGTTTGAATTGATCATCTTTCCCCCATTTCCTTTTTAGGGATCTGGAAAATTGAGTCCTAGGCTAAACAGATGCCTTCTTTAGCAGTATAGAATGTAGGCCAGACATGGTGGCTCATGCCTATAATCCAGGTGCTTTGGGAGGTCAAGGTGGGAGGAGGTCAGGAGTTTGAGACCGGCCTAGGCAACAGAGTGAGACCCCATTTCTACATGAAAATTAATTAGCTGGGCATAGTGCTGCCTACCTATAGTCCCAGCTACTTGGGAGGCTGAGCTAGGAGGATCACTGAGCCCTGGAGTTTGAGATTGCAGTGAGCTATGGATGTACCTCTGCAGTCCAGCCTGTGTGATACAGCAAGACCCTGTCTCACAACAAACAAACAAACAAACAATCAATCAATCAGAAAAGACAAAGAAAAGAAAAAGAAAAAAGAATACACCATGGAAAAGGAGATGAATTTTCGGTGCTCAGCAGTCTGTTGCTGCCATAAGGGGGTTTTGGCAACCAAGTGTTAAATATAGTGAACCCCAAGTTTCTCTTCAAAGAATCAGTATGTCAGTATGTTCAACTCTTTTATTCTTTGATTCTCCATTTTAAAGTTTAACTTCCTGGTTCTCTTCTCCCCCTTGCTTCTAGTTTCAGTAAACAACCTTCCGGCCAGTCCTAATCAGTAGTTCACCTCTGTTCCCCTGGCCACCTGCTCCATCCTGACTCATCCCAGTCACCTGCTTTGACCTGAGTCACCCTGCTCACCCACTCTGACCTAAGTCACCTTGAGTTACTTGATCCTAACCATCCTTCCTGCCAAACTACTCACCCTGCCACTTTGGCTCATACCCCTGCTCTCCTTAAAATAGCCAATCAGAATTAGCTTAGACTGTGTGGTCCAACCCTAGCCGATAGGGGAAAGACACAGCAGTGGGGGCTACCTGCATCAGGAATAAGAACTCCTTTCCCTTCCCTGTCCAGGTGTGCTCTTGCCATTACTCTATTCACGAGTGCTACCCTTCTATAGAAGTAAAAATTGCCTTGCTGAGAAAATTAAATTTATGTTCGAGTGCTATTTCTTCGTGGCACCAGGGAACGAGCATTTCTAATAATTGGGCTAAGTGTAATGGCTTTGCTCTTGCAGGGGCCACCCTCATTTCCCACCTATTATACCATAGGTTGTGATATTTAGGCTGCTGAGATTTGGGAAACAAGGCTCACACATAGAATGAGAGGGAAGTCGACCAAAGAAAGGCCCTGAGATGTAGGGCCAAATTCCAGGACCCAGGAGGAAGCACTCATGGTGAACAAGTGCCTCTGGTCAAGCTAGCTGAGTAACTGTTGTTCTAGGTGTGAGGTGGTGACTGCTTTCGGTTGGGGGACCCTTTTGGTAATTCTCAACCAGGGAGCAGCCCAGTGGTCTGCAGCCAGGCAGTGGGAATTACTGCTCTATGAGGTCACTGCTTATTCCAACCCCATGAGCCAAGCCATTCCACCTCAGCCACCACAGGAAGGGAGGCCTGCAGGGTGCCCCTATAGGCACTACCCCTCCCAGGGTTAGCTAATTCCTAGAGATGGCAAAGAGTGTGCCTTTCATGTGCAAACCAACCAATTCAGAGCTCATAGCCTGAAGCCCTTTCTTTACTGGGCTCTCACACTCTGGGCCACTATCCACCTGCCCTCATCATTCCAAGTCCAGGTACCAGAAAACTAAGTATCTAGTTGTCTGTCCCTGTGCCTACGAGCCCACCAAAAGTATTCAAACTAGCCAATCCTAAACCTGCTTGCTTTGCTTCCCCTGTTCCTTCCCAGGGGAAACCACAATACAGATTCCTGTCTTCCGCCTCCTGACCACCCTTGTGCTTCCCTGTATGGCCTTGTGTGGCACAGTATGTCCCCTTTTCTTGAAATCTATGAGTATAACAAGCTTTTTTCTTTATACCAGTCATTTCTGTGTCTGCCTGTCTTGCCATACCTGTTTAAAAACAAATTCAAGGCACCCTTAAAACACTGTGCCACATCATGGTCTTGATTCAAAACATAGACTGCATCCTTAAGACAAGACTCCCATATGTCAGGGTGCTGTCTCTCAATAATTCATGCCATAACTGAGTCTTCAGCAAGTCACTCCACCTTTAATTAGGCCAGCCACTTCCAGGCGATGGGTACATGGTGAGACCAGTTAATTTCATGCTGCACTTCTTTTACAGTGGAATGAGTTCCCTGATTAGACACAACACTGTGGGAAATGCCACCGTGGTGGGTAAGGATCGCAGGAACTTAGAGATGGTGATGCTGGAAGAAGCATTACAAGCAGGGACAGAAAATCCACATCAAGCATTCATGTCCCTTCCACGATAGAAGCTGCCAATGGAATCAATCTGCCAGCAGGAGGCTGGCTGGTCCCAGCATTAGTGCTATATAGGGGACTCCATGTTGGTCTCTGCTCTTGGCAGATTGGGCACTTGGTGTCAGTGGTAGCCAGGTCAGCCTTGGGAAGAGGGAGATTTTCTGTCTTAGTTTATTTATTGTTGTTATAACAAAATACCCAAGGCTGAGTAACTTATAAGGAAAAGATGTTTATTTGGTCCCCTGTTCTGGTGGCTGGAATGTTCAAGAGTGGGTAGCTGCATCTGGTCAGCGGCCCAGGCTGCTTCAACTCATGACAGAAGACGGAAGGGGAGCAGGCAAAGTGACAACATGGCAAGAGAGAGGAGGCAAGAGAGAAAAACTGAGGAAGCCAGACTCTTCTTTTGTAACTACCTGTTCTTGAGGGAACAAATCCATTCCCGTGAGAGCAAGAACTCACTCCAATGGAGGACATTATTCCCAAGGGATCTGGCCCCATGAGCCAAATACCTCCCACCAGGCCCCACCTCCCAACATTGTCACATTGGGAATTGTATTTCAGCATGATTTTTGGAGGGGACAAACCACATCTAAGCCATGGCAGCCACGCTGATGAGCTCATGAACAGCCTCTATGTGTGCCACCATGACTGGCCCTCTGTCCATGAGTCCACTGGGCAAACACAGGGATGACTGGGGGACAAGGCTGACTGACATCTATGGAATGTGTCATTTTGTCCACCTGATTATTGAAACCTCCTCTGCAGAGAGTGTTCTTGTGCCATGTGGTGAGCGTTTATATGGAATGTCGGGGTCTGCTCATAATGTCCATTCTGAGAGGCCCAGCCCTATGCCCCTTCCCACTCTTTCTTGTCATTAATTTTCTTTCTTTTTTTTCTTGTCATTAATTTTCTTTCTTTCTTTTTTTTTTTTTTTTTTTTTTTGAGATGGAGTTTTGCTCTGTCGCTCAGGCTGGAGTGTAGTGGCACGACCTCAGCTAACTGCAACCTCCACCTCCCAGGTTCAAGCGATTCTCCTGTGTCAGCCTCCTGAGTAGCTGGGATTATAGGCACACACCACCAAGCCTGGCTAATTTTTGTTATTTTTAGTAGAGACAGGGTTTCACCATGTTAAGCGGGCTGGTCTTGAACTCCTGGTCTCAAGTGATCTTCCCGTCTCAGCCTCTCAAAGTGCTGGGATTACAGGCATGAGCCACCGTGCCTGGCTACTTTCATTATTTTTCAAATCTGATCGTTGATCTTTCTGAGGCCCTGATTATCCAGCCAAACCTCTAGCAACTCCTCATGAGTCACTGTGGTCCATATTTCTTGCGGTCTCTCAACCCAGACCAAGATACCAGTGAAATATCCCCCTCAGTCTTCTGCCCCAGGAAAGCCGACCTTCCCTGTTGTCGTTCAGGGCACCCTGAGTGGGGCAGCAGTGCTGCAGCTGGCCACCTTCAGGTGTCACCAGCACGTCTTGCAGACCCAGCTGTAAACAGGCTCAGATTGCTTCTTCCTCAGTCAATTGGTCCTAGGGAGCAGCCCAGGTGGCCTTAGGCTGGATGGGGAGACCTCTGGGTTCCTGTAAGCCCTTACACCAGAGGCCTGGGACCTGCTTCCTGCCACATCTCCCCAGAGTTCTGCCGAATATGTTCTCCTTGCTAGAATTTTTGTTTGGTTCTTGGGTGGTGCTCACTCAGGAATCTTCACTGTCCCTGGCCTGGGGGTTAGGGGATGGGTGAGGGGGTGGTGGTCAGCTGCTGTCCTAGGCTTGAGGCCTGCACCACCCATCCTCTGGTAGTGCCCCAAGGAAGGCAGTTAGGCCTGGGTCCTGGTCCTGGTCATCAGGAATGGACCTCTCTGTGTGGTCCACAGAGAAGACCTCTCTATGTCTTCTGGGATCCTGGTCTCAGCCTCCTCCTTCATTGGATGGCATTGAGTGCCGGGGTGAGGCTCTGCTCTGCCGGAGCTGTCTGCCTCCAGGAGGGAAGCCAGTCAATGCGAGGTCAAAGATAGGGCAAATAGAAAAGGGGCCGGGCCTCTGGCTTCAGGTGGCCCTGAGCACCCCACACCTGGATTCCATGTTATTCAAGGTAATAATTCTCCCCTTGTCTGAGGCCATTCAAGTTGGGTTTCTGGGACCTGCGTGGGGCTCACTGACATGGTCTATAACAGACATTGCATGCGTGCTCTGGAAGTGTGGGGGGAGGGGCACCCAGCAATGCTGTCTTGGCCCCAGATACTGTGCAGTGGACCCGTAAACAATGCAAGGGTTGGGGCACCAACCACCACCCCTGAGCCTTTGTAATTTATTGAGCATTATGTAGTATATAGACTACTCTTGCATTTTATTTGATCATCAGAATGTTTCGAGTTAGGTGTAATATAGGAATGATACTTGTGTTACATAACAGAAGACTGGTTCTAAGAAGCATATACTGAGTTTTTCAAGGTTTGAAAAAATTAGACTCAGTAGATCAAGAAGGTAAATTCTAGATATATGGCATACAAAACTAGAATTTATAAAACGGTGCATATGGGCTTCTTTGCATACTACCTTTTTTTAACTTTCCTTTAGTGTATTAAAGTAATTAAGCCTCAGGATTAGTGAGAAATAAAATGGAGATACTTGTAACCCAGTAATGCTTTTTATTTTTAAGAGACAGGTTCTTACTTTGTCACCCAGGCTGGAGTGCAGTGGCATGATCATAGCTCACTGCACCCTCAAACACCTAGGCTCAAGTGACCCTCCCACCTCAGCTTTCCAAGTAGCTAGGGCTACAAGAGCACACCGTCACACCTGGATAATTAATTTTTTTTTTTGTAGAGATGAGGTCTCACTATGTTGCTCAGGCTAGTCTCAAATTTCTGACCTCAAGCAATCCTCCTGCCTCGGCCTCCAAAAATGTTGGGATTACAGCCATGAGCCAGCACACGTAGCCCAGAAATGTTCCTAAAAGCCAGAAAAATAAAGTTAAATGCTATTAAGAAAAATTTAAAGGGATAAAAATATACTATGATATATGAAATGTCACAGCTCAGTCACGGTCACTAAAATATTGATTAAAATGTAAAACAGTTCAGGCAAGTCTGAGAACTGAGAGGGAAGTACAGAATTGGTTTGGAAGCCAGAATTAGGATTGTCAGAGCTGAGAAAGCAGAAGCAATGCATGAGTGTGCACAGGACTGGGGCACATAAGCAGCTCCATGGTATACTGTGTGTCCTCTTATATGGCAGGCCAGCTCCAGGCCAGCAGATGAGAATCACCTGATGGGTGGAAACAGTGGATTTAGATAAAACCTCAGACCATGCATCATAACTAAGAGACTTTAAATGTTTGTCTTATGGGCCATAAAACTAATAAAAGCAACAGCACAGGAAGAATAGAGCAGGTCGGTAAGTGCAGTAAGCCAACTGCCACCTCTTCCAGGGCATCAGTCATCCCAAAGAAATATTGGAGCAGCAAGATTTGACAAATCTTGTGAGAAGAGCTCTTGGTTCAGAGTCCAAGGCATGATCTAGAGGACTCAGGTGTTCAGGGGTCTCCATCCCCAGGGAAGCAACTACATTCTTTTCCCAGATCTATTACTCTTCACTGTGGTAACTCTGGGAAAGTCACTCAAAATGTCTACATTTTAACTCGCTGATTTGGAAAATATAAGTTGTAGCCCCTGCTCTGCCCATCTCTCGGGGCTGATGTGGGGATCATGGGAAATCACAGATCTCCTCCATGAGCTGGAAAGCATCATGCCCACACAAAGGGTGAAGTCACTTTCCATCCGCCCCTGCCCAGGAGCCATGCAAGCTCCCTCTCTGTATTCAACCACTACTGAGTATCTGGATTATTCTTCCAGACATTGAATGATTGGGCATTTACAAGGCATGAGTCTTCTGAAGGCTTTATCTGTATTTCATCCATTTTAGCCCTATGCCATAGCATAGACCATACTAACATTTCCACATTTCAGAATAGGAAACTGAGGCACAGAGGGGTTCATATCTCTCTCCCAGGTATGTGCAGATTCTAAGTAGGATTTGAACCCAGGCCATTCTTGGTGAC
Organism: Homo sapiens; assembly: GCF_000001405.40. Classification (NCBI taxonomy): domain Eukaryota; kingdom Metazoa; phylum Chordata; class Mammalia; order Primates; family Hominidae; genus Homo; species Homo sapiens. Next base: position 107,812,543 of record NC_000012.12, on the reverse strand, counting down.
TTGGATCTGCTGCCTTTCTATATTGTCTCATCTAAATAAATGCATCTGCCTGCACAGTCAGTCTGGCTTTAAGTGCAATCAACCTTGCAAGATCTTCCTAGCGTCCAACTCTGCTTCAGGTGACATTGAAAAGCAGATGGTGAAAAATGGGATCAAAAGTTTGATCTGTGAATAAGTTTTTACTAATTTCTCTGTGGTCATCTGCCAGCAAGATGTCAAGAGCTGTCTTTATTATAACACATTTTCTAGCATCTTGAAATGAAGATGCAAGAAGCTGTCCACATTGGCTTCAAAGATCAGTTGCCACTTCAAATAGTGGGTGAAAAAAATCTGCCTATGGGAAAAAATTCTCCCTGGTGAACATGAAGGTAGTGTGAAAATTTAATCATTAAGTTCATTTAGGCAAATTATTTCAGCTTATTTATTCAGTGCCCCATATTAGAGACATAACTCAATAAATGCTATACCATGTTCTTCATTTATTTTATGCACGCCAATTTAAATGTATTAAGTCAATCAATAGTGGTACAACTACACAAGTAAAAATATATTGACAACTTAAAGTTTGGTTCACTTTTTTGTTTGTTTGTTTGTTTTTTGGAAGCAGGGACTCACTCAGTCACCCCAGAGTGCAGTGGTGCAATCATGGCTTACTGCAGCCTTGAGCTCCCAGGGGCAGGTGATCCTCCCAGCTCAGCCTCGAGAATAGCTAGGACTAAGGCATGTGCCATCATGCTCACTCAATTTTTCTTTTCTTTTTTTCTTTTTTTGGTAGAGATGGGGTTTCACCATGTTGCCCAGGCTTGGTTCACTTTTTTTTTTTTTTTTTGAGACAGAGTCTAGCTCTGTCGCCCAGGCTGGAGTGCGGTGGCGCGATCTCGGCTCACTGCAAGCTCCACCTCCCAGGTTCACGCCATTCTCCTGCCTCAGCCTCCCGAGTAGCTGGGACTACAGGCACCTGCCACCACACCCGGCTAATTTTTTTGTATTTTTAGTAGAGATGGGGTTTCACCGTGTTAGCTAGGATGGTCTCGATCTCCTGACCTCGTGATCACCCGCTTCGGCCTCCCAAAGTACTAGGATTACAGGCGTGAGCCACCGCGCCCGGCCAGTTCACTTTTAATAGTAAAGAACATCTTAAATGTTTAGATATTTGCTTTCAGTTTGGGCAAGTATGAATACAGATATTATAAACCTTCCTGTATCATTTTTGTAAACACAATTTTTAAAATATAAAACTAAGGAATACCTAGGATTTTATGATTACTTGCTTGCATGGTAAGACTCGATTTTTCTTGGTAAGAATTTGGTAGAATTTACCAGTGAAACAATCAGGATGTAGTGTTTTTTGTTTTTATTTTGAAAAGTTAATTATTATTCAATTTTTTTTTTTTTTGAGACGGAGTCTCACTCTGTCACCAGGCTGGAGTGTAGTGGCGCAATCTCAGCTCACTGCAAGCTCTGCCTCCCGGGTTCTCGCCATTCTCCTGCCTCCGCCTCCCGAGTAGCTGGGATTAAAGGTGCACACCACCACGCCCTGCTAATTTTTGTATTTTTAGTAGAGATGGGGTTTCATCGTGTTGGTCAGGCTGGTCTTGAACTCCTGACCTCAAGTGATCCACCTGCCTCAGTCTCCCAAAATGCTGAGATTACAGACTGGTTCTTAAGGTGACTATTTCACATGGATGAAGTTGCCCTCACTAGAAAGCCAAGGTTCTGTCTTCATTTCTTTCTGACTCTCTCATTTTCCTTCCTTCACCACCAAGGAGAATGGCCCGGGAGCAGCTCAGTCCATGCTTGTCAACCACCCACCTCCATATACTCCAGCCCTGGTCCACATCCCCCAAGGCTCCTTTTGTAGGATTCCTCAACAGCACAAATGCACCAACTGTCACTCTATGTTCTCCTAGACCTACAGGAGGAGTGTGCAGGTGATAATCCAGAGGAGGAAGTGTCATCTATCAAGGTAAGTTGCATTTCCTTGTCTGGAAAAGAAATGTTTTTTCAGGGGCTTCTTTCCTTATTAATGAAATGAAGATAGGAAAATCTGACCATGGCTGGGCATGGTGGCTCACGCCTGTAATCCCAGTACAGGCCGAGGTGGGCAGATCATTTGAGGTCAGGAATTTGAGACCGGACTGGCCAGTACAGTGAAACTCTATCTCTACTAAAAATACAAAAATTAGCTAGGCGTGGTGGTGCATGCCTGTAGTCCAAGCTACTCAGGAGGCTGAGGCAGGCAAATCTCTTGAACCCGGGAGGTGGAGGTTGCAGTGAGCCAAGATTACATCACTGCACGCCAGACTGGGTGAGCCAGCGAGACCCCATCTAAAATAAAAATAAAATAAAAAAATAAAAAAATCTGACTATGTACATTATAGATGACAAATACAATTTTCTTGGTGAGGGGGAATATCAAGTGAATATCATTTGCACTTGATATTCATCGTTCATCAGGCCACAGTTGGTCATGGGCTCTAGTGACCTTTAGTGACCTTTAGCTAGAGTCCATGACCAACTGAGGCCTGATGGATGACAGAGTCAAAAATGACAGCACCACTTACAAACTGTCTGGTAGTGAGCATATTTCTCAGTAGCAACTTTTTCTTCTTGAGAAAACGTTTTGTATTTTCCAGTCAACATGGACTTGCAAAACATTCCATGAAAACCGACTGCCTTTTCCACAAGCATCCTCTATACTTTATGATAGGGCTGGTGCCTAGGCCACTTTTTGCCATCTGGTTCTCTAATGTCACCAAGTGAATAAAAGACCTGTGCAAACAGGACATGGCATGATCTGATCCACAGGGTGTTTTCCTTTCTCCCATTGCAGGTGGAGTTCACAGCCAAAAAACACCGTACGTATTCTAAGAGCACTCCCTTGCTGACAACAAATCTAAGTGATGAGAAAGGAGGAACTCTCTTGCCTGCTTTTGTCTGGAGACCCTTCCTGGCTTCAGCTTCCTGATAGGAGTGAGGATCTGGGGTGTGGTGTGAGAAACAGAAGTCCCAATAAAGAACTATGACCATCCACTATAGTCTCTGGAAACAGCCATATCATTTAGATGGTGTGGGTTTGTATGCAGGAGGGTTGGGAAGTAACTAAGGGTGAGTTAATGTGTGGTGATTGTGAATGTGTTTGTCAATGTGTGTGTTTCCCCCAGGAAATGTGGACCCACATGCACAGCACAGTACAAGTGTCACTTTTCTTGAATTCCTGTCCTATAGTGACCCTCAAACCTCAATCATGTCATTTTTCTAATAAAAAAAAAAAAACGAACACCACCATACACTTCACATAAATCACCTCTTTCCTCCCTCACCACAGCTGTACCTGAAGGTCAGTTTAATATCTCTACTCCTTAAATGGAGATGGTGCAGAAAAGAATAAACCCAGATTTTGACACCTGAATAGAGGAGGAAAACATGAACCCAGAAATGGGTCCCAGTATTGACGCCCTGTTCCTCAACGGTGTGATCACTCAGGCATGGGATAAGGTGTTCCCACAACAGGGAGTTCTAGGATCTATGAGTACACCTGGAACTGTGACAGCCTATAAACATGCCAAGCATTGCCCATCATCATAAGGTGGGCCCAGTGGTCACATAACCCAGGGTAGCAAAAGGTACAGGGAAAAACAGACACTGGCATGGTCATTACTGTGAAATACACATAGAAAGCCCACAGGCTTCTGGTCAGCTCACAGATTCTGAGAAGTGTATGGCCCCACATAGAACAGTGTAGGTCAACATCTGTGCGTGCTGGGGTCATTCCTCAGCACTTGGTCAAAGCAGGGAAGAATCAGGAAGATACTGTATTGTATTTAATAACATGACCACCTCAAGCCAAAGAAATGCTCCAATCCATAGCAGACGGACAAGGTCCACTGCATCAGAACTCAGACACAACCTTGTTGTTAGCCTGGTGCCCATCACCCTAGCTGGAGATCTCCCGCACAGCTAGGTTAGTGAGGCTCAGCACTCACCATGTGCTGAACCCCAGGATGGACTGTCCCACTGTCAGGGGCTGGTGTGAGCATGACCAGCCACTGACTCGATGGATGCACACACAGTGAGAGTGGAGCAGGGCTCATTCCTTTGTGGTTAGACCCTGGCACAGCAACATGCAACACCCAGGTCTGGTAGGAAATTGAGAAGGAGGTCTGCAGGCAGAGTTGGGGGATATCACTCCAACTGTCCCTGATGACATCTAACATTTATCTTCAGATAATGTTGCTAGGAATAGGAAATGCCATGTTCATGTGAAAACTCAGTCTCCTGTTACTTAGACTAGTCATGGTTTCTTGGGGAAACCCTTTAAAATGGAAAGGGTACAAGAGGTTTTCTTGAGGGACTGAGCATCAGAGTGAGCTCTTGGCTTCCTTCCTAGGGGGATGAAGGAGAAGTCAAGCTTCACAAGGTGGGGAAAGACAAACTCAGCTGTGGGACAGGAGAACCTCAGAATCCCTCCAGGGCCACCAAGCACCCCCTAGTTACCTCTATGGTGGGATTTTAACAAATCACAAGGTAATGTGGCCCCAAGCCCACCCTTCCCCACATCCACACTGAGCCCAGCTCTCCCAGGCCCTTGCTCTGGTCTCTTGAATGGAGGTGTTTCAGGGCCTTTGGCCATAGGAGGGCAGGGCTGGGGAGGAAGCCTCTGCTGTCTTGATGTGGAGGCCTCCAGCTGGGAGGGAGGATCCCTATCCTCTGAACCCCAGCAGCCCCTCCATGTCACAGGCTTACTCGCCTTCTACCTCTGCACCCTCATCTGAGCTCTCTGGAAGTTTCACTCCTGGGTAGCCACCTTAAAGATCCCTACCTGCCAGGTCAGGGACAAAGACAGTGAGGCTCTCCTCTCCTCCCCCAGTTATGCCCCAGCCACCTTGCCCTTGTACCATAGGGGACTGGCTTGAGCCAGCTGGCACAGTGCTCCCACTGCCCCCAGACAGCTCTGATTTTAGATTCAGGCTCAGCTCCACACTCACTGGGTGTGTCACTGGGCATGGAGCCCGGGCCCCCCTGAGACTGTTTTCTCATCTGTAAAATGCGATGGAAACAACAACTACCTCATAGATCATCCTGAGAACTCAGATTTCTGTAGCTATCACCATTGTTCTCACCATCATCCCTCTGAAGAAGAGCCAGGCAAGAGCACCCTCTAATTCCTCTCCTCCCTTCAACCTCATTTCCACCCTGTGAGGCCTGCACTACAGGCTATGTCATCTTTGTAATAACTCCATGGAGTGGGCTTGTGGTTCACATACAGGAACACAATAGTTGCAGTAGCCTGCCCAGGCTCACAGAGCTGGGTGTAGAGCCCTCTAGGTTTAAGGTTGCTAAGCCTTTCATAGACCATGGACATTTTTGAAAATGTGATGAGGCCAGGCGCGGTGACTCATGCCTGTAATCCCAGCACTTCGGGAGGCTGAGGCGGGTGGATGACCTGAGGTCACAGTTCGAGACCAGCCTGTCCAACATGGTGAAACCCCGTTTCTATTAAAAATACAGAAATTAGCTGGGCATACTGGTGGATGCCTGTAATCCCAGCTACTCGGGAGGCTGAGGCAGGAGAATCGCTTGAACCCAGGAGGTGAAGTTTGCAGTGAGCTGAGATGGCGCCACTGCACTCCAGCCTGGGTGACAAGAGCGAAACTCCTACTCAAAAAAAAAAAAAAAAAAAAAGTGATGAAAGTCACCAGGTTTTCCCCCAGAATAAAGCTACTCCTCACACTCATGTATGAAGTTGTCCATAATTCTCGGGGTCCCACAGTTAAGAATACTCACATTAGACATGGAACTTGGTGAGCAGAGGGGGCTTCTCCCATTCATTTTTGCATCCCTGGTGTGTAGCACTGAGCCCAGCACACAACAGGTGCTCCAAAGGACCTTCCCATGGGCATGTGGAGGGATGAAGTAGTGAAGGTGAATGACAGACACACGGCCAGGTGTCGCTCCAATCAGCCTCAGCCCTGAAACCTGTGTGACCCCGAGGGCCCCTGCTCTGCTCCAGGCCTCCAGCAGCCAGGCCTTGGGGTCCCTGCTCAGGGAGGGCCACTCACAGATCCTGTGCCCGGTCCCTCTCTGTGTCTTGGCCCTTCTCTCCCACCTACATGACTCTTCTCTGTGTCCCCCTGACCACCTGCTCCCTTCTCTAGGGGCACCCAGGTCTCATTGGACTGATCGGGCCCCCATGGGACAGGGAGAGAAGGGAGATCTGGGCCTTCCTGGCCCTCAGGGCTGCCCTGGGCAGAGAGTGAGAGGTGTATCAAGGGCCTGATCCTGAAAGGTGCAGGGATGAGGGCAGGGATTCAGATTGGGGGTGGGGAAGTGGGAGTTGACACTCAGCTGTCGGGGAGGGATCCCCGGGACAGGCCAGCACAGCCCCTCCTGTGGGTGTCACACAGGCAGATGCAGGTCCCTCTCCCCGGGAAGGGGTAGGTTTGAGTTCAGTCCGCAGGGCCCCTCGTGGGAACTGACGAGGGGTGGGGATGGAGTGGGGGTAGCACTGGTCCCCAGGGCCCCTGCCTGCCTTCTAGGGAGCCCAGTGACCAAGGCAGCCCTGGTGGGAACCGCGTGTGTCTGAGCCCCTAGCAAGGCCCTCAGGCTCTCACAGGACGGATGCAGACACGAGGCCGGGGAAGCCCTGCTGCCATCGTGGGACTGCCCCTCCAGCACCCAGCTTTCCGTGGTTCTCTGGGTCCCCTCTGCAGTGGGGCCAAGACAGCCCACCCTGGATCCTGAGGGACCGAGATTGAGGGACCCTCCCCAGCTCTGGCCAGGCTGCTTCCTTTTGTGGATGGCGAAGCTGAGGTCCAGAGGAGGGCAGGGGCATGTCCTGGGGGCTACCCAGGGAAAAGGAGCCGACCTCAGGAGTGGGGTCACGGGGAGCGCTCCTGCGACCTCTAGGGCCCTAGAACCCGTCAGGATGGGATACCCGTGGCCTTTTGTCCACTCCTGGGACTGGACAGAGGTTCAGCCAGTGCCGCACAACCAGAAGCTGCCTCTGGCAAGACCAAGTCCTCAGCCCCTTTTTTTTTTGAGACAGAGGCTCGCTCTTGTTGCCTAGGCTGGAGTGCAGTGGCGCGATCTCGACTCACAGCAACCTCAGCCTCCCAGGTTCAAGCCATTCTCCTGCCTCAGCCCCCTGAGTAGCTGGGATTACAGGCATGCGCCACCATGCCCAGCTAATTTTTGTATTTTTACTAGAGACAGGGTTTTACCAATTGGCCAGGCTGATCTCAAACTCCTGACCTCAAGTGATTCACCTGCCTTGGCCTCCCAGAGTGCCAGGATTACAGGTGTGAGCCACTGCTCCGGGCCTTGAACATCTTTTCTCTTACCTGTTGTTCAATTTTATGTCTTCTTTGCAGAATTGTCTATTCAGGTGTATTGCCAAATATTAGATTGGATTTTTTTGCACTTTGAAGTGTTTTCTGTGTGTACACATTTCACAACCCCTCATAAACTATATTATTGCCTGAAATTTTCACCTAATATCTAGGATGATTTTTTATTTGAAAGGTAGTTTTCTTTGCTGTGCAGAAACTTTTAAGTTTGATGTAGTCCACGTTTCTTTTTAGTGCTTGATACATGTGATTTTGGTCACCCATAAAATAAAGTATATGTCAGCAGAAGGAAAAGTATTCAGTTGCCAAAGAGATTTTTCTCCCAAGGTGTTTTTTGTTTGTTTCTCTTACTCTTTGCAAAGGTGAGCAGAGATTCGTGTGGCTCAACCTGTGTTTTAGTTACAAAAGTTTTATGGTTTATGGTCTTTTGTTTTGGCCTTTAATTTTGGGGGGCTGATTTTCTTTCATTGTGTGAAATAAGCATCCTATATCTGTCTTATGCATATGGATATCATTTTTGTCAAAGTTCTTTTTTTTTTTTTGAGATGGAGTCTAGCACTGCCGCCCATGCTGGAGTGCAGTGAGGTGATCTCCGTTCACTGCAACCTCTGCCTCCCAGTTCAAGCGATTCTCCTGCCTCAGCCTCCCGAGTAGCTGGGATTACAGTCGCCTGCCACCACACCCAGCTAATTTTTTGTATTTTTAGTATAGATGGGGTTTCACTATGTTGGCCAGGCTGGTCTTGAACTCCTGACCTTGTGATCTGCCCACCTCAGCTTCCCAAACTGCCGGGATTACAGGCGTGAGCCATTGTGTCCAGCCCAAAATTCTTTATTGAGCAGCCTCTGCCTTCCACATTGTGTCTTTGTGGTATCCTTTGTCAAAGTGAGTTGACTATGTATAGGTTTGGGTTGATAATTAATTTTTTTTTGTCCTCCCTGTTTTCGTCCCTAGCTCTAGGCTTTTGTTTGTATGCAAACACCACATATTTTGTGTAAATACAGCTTAGCAATGTAATCTGATATTGAGGATTGTGGGTCCTCATATTTTGACTTTATTTCTCAGGATTCCTTTGGATATTCAGGACTTGTTGTGGGTCCTTGTGATTTTTAGCATTGTGTATTCATAAGTGTTAAGTTTCATGTCTTTTCTTTTTTTTTTTTTTTTTTTGCACATCATGAAGCCTGATAATTAGGGCTACACTGGGATATTTGGATACGTGTATATGTTGAGTAATGAACAAGTCAGCTACTTAGCATCTTTATTCCTTAATACATATATTATTTTTGTGTGGAGAGAACATTCAAATTCTTCCCTTTTATCTCTTTTGAAAACTACAAAATTTTTTTGTGTGTGTGAGATCGAGTTTCACTCCTGTTGCCCAGGCTGGAGTGCAATGGCGCGATCTCACCTCACTGCAACCTCCACCTCCTGGGTTCAAGCGATTCTACTGCCTCAGCCTCCTGAGTAGCTGTATTACAGGCACCTGCCACAACACCCAGCTAATGTTTTGTATTTTTAGTAGAGATGGGGTTTCACCATGTTGGCCAGGCTGGTCTCAAACTCCTAACCTCAGGTGATCTACCTGCTTTGGCCTCCCAAAGTGCTGGTATTACAGGCATGAGTCACCGTGCTCAGCCAAAAACTACAAAATTGTTAACCAAAGTGACTGAGCTGTGAAATAGAACACTAGAATTTATTCCTTTCATGTGAGAGTAACTTTGTTTTCTTAACCAATCCTTCCTATTCCCCATCTATCCCCCAGCCTCTGGTAACCAATATTGTCCCTTCTGCTTCTTTATGATAATCTTTTTTGTAGATTTGAGTGATATCATCCACTGTTTATCTTTCCAGGCCTGGCATATTTCATTTAACATAACGTTTTCCAGGTTCAACCCTGTTGCTTCAAGTGACATGATGTCATTATTTTGATGACGGAAGTGTTTTGTCATATATATATATACTAGAGATTCTTGATCCATTTATCTGTGGATAGACAGCTAGATTGATTCCATAAACGTAGCTTTTGTGAATGATGCTGCAAGAAACCTAGGAAGGCAGATTTCAGAAAATACAGATTTCATTTATTTTGAATGTATACCCAGAAGGGAGATGGCTAAATCATATGGTATATGTATTTTCAATTCTTTGAGGAACCTGTAACTCTTTTCCACAGTTTACTAATATTCATTCCCACCTACAGGGTATGAGCACCCCTTTCTCCAAATCCACACCATAATTCTTATTTTTAGAAACCTTCATTCATTTAGCAATATTTATTTCAATAATAGTGAAATATTATCTGAATGTGGTTGTTAATTACATTTGTGGAATTAATAGTGATATTGAGGTCCTTTTCTTTTACCTGTTGGTCAGCTTTGTATGTGTGTGTGTTTATTTGTTTGTTTTTTCAAAGTGGTCTATTCAGTTTCCTTGCCAAATATTAGATTTTTTTTTTTTTTTTTTTTTTTTTTTTTTGCCACTGCATAGCGTTTCTTTCTGTATACAGGTTCCAGAAGAACTCCTGTGAGTTATATACTTGCCTGAAATTTTGGCCCATTCTTTGGGATGCTTTTTTATTTGGAAGATAGTTTTCTTTGCTGTGCAGAAACTTTTCAGTTTGATGTAGTCTAACATGTTTATTTTTACATTTGATACATGTGATTTTGGTCACCAATTAAAAAATATATCAGTGTCAAAGCATCCCATTGACAATGAGTTTCCCCCCTGACCCCGCCAACTTCAGGATGTTTTTTGTGTTTCTTTTCCATTTTTCCAGGTTGAACACAGATTCACGTAGCCCAAAGTATACATTCAACCTATGTTCCTGTTAAAGGTATTTTATTGTTTAAGGTCTTGTGTTTTGGTCTTAGATCTTTTTTGGGTTGAATTTTGTACATCATGTAAAATAAGGGTTCTTTTTCTCTCTTCTGCATATGGATATAATTTTTCTCATAGTCATTTATTGAGCAGACTCTGCCTTTTACATTATGTCTTTGCAGTGTTCCTTGTGAAAGTCAGTTGACTATACATTTGGGTTGATTATTTGCCTGTTTGTTTGTTTGTTTTTTGCCCATGGCTGTAGGTTTTTGCTTTTATGCAAGTATCACATATTTTGCATAACTATAGATTTGCAATGTAATTTGATATCAGAGATTGTCCTCATACTTTCATTGTACTTCTCAAGATTCCTTTAGATATTCAGAGCTTTTGTGAATCCCTGTGATTTTTAGCAACTGGTATTCACTTATGTTAACTTTTGCTTTTTTTAACATCACAAAGGTCCACAATAAGGGGGTATGCTGGTACATTTTGATAAATGTATACATTGGGTAACGATCAAACCAGGGTGCTTAACATCTCTATTCTTTCATACAGGTATTAATTTTGGGTAGAAAGAACATTCAAAATCCTCCCTTCATTTATCCCTTACATTTATCATAATGTTTTCCAGGTTGATCTGTGTTGCTCCAAATGACATAATGCTATTAGTTTGATGGCTGAAGAGTATTCTTTGTGTATATATACTAGAATTTCTCAATCCTTTCATCTGTGGATGATCAGGTATCCTGGCTTTTGTGAATGGTGCTAGAAGAAACACTGGAAGGCAGCTGACTCTCAAAAATACAGATTTCATTTGTTTTGAATATATACCCATTAGTGGGACTGTTAGATGGTATGGTATTTGTAGTTTCCATTCTTTGTGGAACCTCCAACTGTTTTTCATAGTGTGAACACTAATTTACATTCCCATGAACAGTTCCCCTTTCTGGAAATCCCCACCAGCATTTGTCTTTTGTAGTATTTTTATCTTTTTGTAACATTCATTCCAGTTAGAATGAGATAAATCTGAGTGTGGTTTTGATCCACATTTTTCTCATGATCAGTAATGTTAACCACATTTTTGTAAACATTGGGTTAGTTTCATGTCTTCTTTGCACAAATGTCTATTCAGGTTCTTTGCCCAATTTTGTTTTGGTTATTTTCTGTTGTTTTGGGTTTTGCCAGCTTGTATTGCTACTGGCTTGTGCCTTTTCAAAAACAACCCCTTATCAGCTGTATGTTTTTCCAAACTTCTCTAATAATTTTTAAGATGCTTTTAAATTTTCCTCATTGTTTCCTTTGTTGGACACAAACTCTTAAGTTTGATGTGGTCCCACATGTGTATAATTTCTCAGTTGCCTGTGATGTTGGTTCCTAATTTAAAAAAACCCAAAATCACTACCAAAGTATTCCATGATTTTTTTTTCTTTTTTTGTTACTTCTTGCAAACTTGGAGCATACATCCAAGTTGCCCTAGATTTTCCTTTTTTTTTTTTTTGAGACAGAGTCTCACTCTGTAGGCCAGGCTGGAGTGCAGTGGCACAATCTCAACTCACCACAGCCTGGGTTCAAGTTATTCTCCTGCCTCAGCCTCCCGAGTAGCTGAGATTACAGGTGCATGCCACGATGTCTGCTAAATTTTGTGTTTTTAGTAGAGACAGGGTTTCACCATGTTGACCAGGCTGGTCTTGAACTCCTGACTTCAGGTGATCCGCCCGCCTCTGCCTCCCAAAGTGCTGGGATTACAGGCATGAGCCACCGCACCAGGCCCCTAGATTTTCTTTATAGGAGCTTTATGATTGCAAGTTTTGTGTATTATCTGCCATCCATATTGAGTTGATTATTGTGTATTTAGCTCCATAAGGGTCCTATATCATTCTTTTGCATATGGATATCTAGTTTTGAAAACCATTATAGAACAGACTCTCTCATCCTCATTGTGTCATTTTGGTGTTGTTTTTTAAAATGTGTTCACTATAAATAAATTTGTGTTTATTATTAAGCTCTCTCATTTTACTATTTGGTGTGTGTTTCTGTGCACATGCCAGTAACATATGGGTTGGATAAGTGTAGCTTTTCCGTGTAATTAGAAATCAGGGAGAGTGATGCATCCCCTGTGGCTTGTATTTCTCAGGATAGCTTTGGAAATTTAGGGTGTTTCATGTTTCCATATAAATTTTGCCATCGTTTGTTTACATTTCTTTTAAAAAACTACTTGTCACATATTAAATGTATATAGAGTGTACAAGAGCATTTTAATATATGTGTACATTGTGTAATGATCAAATCAGGTTATTTAGCATCTCTTTATTTAATATAGTTATTAATACTTTGTGGCAAAAACATTGAAAACCCTTTCTTCTAGCTATTTTGAAAAATACGGTACAGTACTGTTAACCCTAGTCTGTGGGCGGCAAGCCACCCAGGTGCCGAGGCAAGAGACCAAGGACACGAGCTGTTTCAGTATGATAAAATATAAAATATGAATAGTTATACCAGATATAGATCTTAGATATGATTATATATGAATATAATTAATCATTAGTTTGTAGCAATTACTCTTTATTCCAATATTATAATAATCCTTGCTCTATAATCATAATCTAGGAAAAACCAGGCCATACAGAGATAGGAGCTGAGGGGACATAGTGAGGAGTGACCAGAAGACAAGAGTGTGAGCCTTCTGTTATGCCCAGACAGGGCGACCAGAGGGCTCCTTGGTGTAGTGGTAATGCCAGCGTCTGGGAAGACGCTCGTTGCCAAGCATACCGTGGTCTAGCGGTAGCGTAAGCGTCAAGGAAAAACATCCACTACTTAGCAGACTGGGAAAGGGAGTCTCCCTTTCCCCGGGGGAGTTTAGAGAAGACTCTACTCCTCCAACTCTTGTGGAGGGCCTGACATTAGTCAGACTCGCCTGCAGTTATCAGGAGGCCTAACTGTCTCCCTGTGATGCTGTGCTTCAGTGGTCACGCTCCTAGTCCGCCTTCATGTTCCATCCTGTACACCAGGCTCTGCCTTTTAGATAGCAGTAGCAAATTAGTGAAAGTATTAAAAGTCTCTAGTAAGCAGAAATAATGGCATAAGCTGTCTCTCTCTCTCTCTCTGTCTCGTCTCTCTCTCTGCCTCAGCTGTCAGGCAGGGAAGGGCCCCCTGTCCAGTGGACATGTGACTCACGTGGCCTTACCTATCATTGGAGGTGGCTCACTCTCCTTATCCTGCCCCTTTGTCTTGTATCCAGTAAATATCAGTGCAGCCTGGCATTCGGGGCCACTACTGGTCTCCGTGACTTGGTGGTAGTGGTCCCCTGGGCCTAGCTGCCTTTTCTTTTATCTCTTTGTCTTGTGTCTTTATTTCTACACTCTCTCATCTCCGCACACGGGGAGAGACCCACCGACCCTGTGGGGCTGGTGCCTACACTAGTCATCCTGTTGTGGAATAGAACAGGAGAATTTATTCCTCTCAGGTAAGTGTAACTTTGTATCCATTTGCAATCCCTGTCTAGTGCCCCCTGCCCCCAAGCCTCTGGTATCCACCATTAAACTTTGTACTTCTACAAGATAAAGTTGTTTAGATTGCACATGTGTGAGATCATGCCACGTTTGTGTTTCTCTGCCTGGCTCATTTCATTTAACATCATGCCTTCCAGGTCTCTCCATGTGGCTGCAGATAACGTGATTTTGCGAATTTCTATGGCTGAAGAAGATTCCATTGTGCACTGCAGTTTCTTATCCTTTCATCTGTGTATGGACAAGTAGGTTGATTCCATATCTTGGCTACTGTAAATAGTGCTTTGGTCACCATGCAAAGGCTGATAGTTCTCCAAAATACACATTTCAAGTGCTTTCAGTGTATATTCAGGGGTAGGATTGCTACACTAAAGAGCAGTTGTATTTTTTTTTTCTTTTTAGAGGAAACTGCAACTGTTTTTTATAGTGTACATAGTAATATACAGTCTGATTAGTAGTGTTGAAAGGTTTATTTCTCTGCAAATCTACATTGGCCATTACCTATAAACATTTTGAGGGGGGTTGTTTTAGGTAGGATTCATTCTAAGTGGATCGAGACCCCATCTGAATGTGGTTTGGACTTACCTTTGTGGGAGAAATGATGAAGTTGAGCAACTTCTTTTTGACTCCTTAGTCAATTCATGTCATCTTTTCAGAAATGTCTATTAAGGGCCTTTGCCCATTTTTAGCTTTGGTATTAGTGGATTTTTTTGTTTGTTTTGTTTTTTTCAAACACAGTGGTTTTAGTTTCTGGGACATGTTAGATAACAACCACTTTCAGAGATACAGTTTTTCAGATCTGTCTCCAACTCTGCAGGACATCTTCTCTTTCAGTTCATTGGTTTCATTCCAGTGGAACACATCTAAAGGTTTCCATAGTCCTACATGTTTATATTTGCATGTGTTCATGGTGTTTGGGTGTTCCATCACAAAAAAAAAAGGAAAAAAGATTGCATTGTCTATGGGTTTCTTCCTCCTACTTTTCCCTTTTGTTTTCTTTCCTTTTGGCAATCTGTGTGCATAGATTCAGGTTTACTGAAGTAAATGCTCACCCTGTTTTCTTCTAGGAGTTTTGTGTTTTCAGGTTTGGGTGGAGATCTTTAATATACTTTGCATTGGTTTTTGTGTCCTGTGTAATGTGAGGGCCCATTTCACTGTTTTGCAGGTAGAAATCCATTTTACTCAAAGACTATTACAGAGCAAACTTCTCTCTTCACTGTTGTGATATTTGGTGTTCTCTTGAAAAATGCGTTCACCATATGTAATTTTGGGCTGCATTTTTTGGCTTTCTCATTTTGTCCATAGGTTAATCTTTCTGCGTGTTTGCCAGAAAAGGATTGTTTGGATAACTACAGGTTTTTCTTATTTTTTTTTGTTTATACAGCTCCTAAGCTTGTTCTTTGTGTGTGTGTGTGTAATAATTTCTACTTTTATTATAGACTAAAGGGTACACACACAGGTTAATTACATCTGTTGACTGCATGACACTGGGGCTTGGGGTCCCAACAACCCCATGACCCAGGCAGTGAGCAGAGGACCCACAAGGTGGGTCTTCAGCATATAATGCCCCCTCTCTCTCATTGTTTTTGTGGGGGTCCAGTAGTCACTCTCACTGTCTGTTGTTGCCTTCTTTATGTTCAGGTACATTCATAGTTTAGTTTCCACTTACAAGTGAGAATGTGTGGCATTTGGATGTCTGTTCTGGCTGTAGTTCACTTAGGATAATGGCCTGCAGCTGCCAAAGATGTGATTGTCTTTTTTTGCGGCTGTTTAGTGTTTTATGGTATATACGTATCACATCTTTATCTTATGCACTGTTGATGGGCACCTAGGTTGATTCCATTTATTTGCCCTTGTGCATGACACTGCTGTGAACATAAAAGTGCCTGTGTCTTTTGGACAGAAGGATGCATTTTCCTTTGGGTAGATCCCTAGGAGCGGGATTGCTGGGTCAGATGGTAGTTCTAAGTTCTTTGAGAAATCTCCAAACTGCTTTCCACAGTGTCTGTACTAGTTTGCATCCCCACCTAGACCACATCAGTGTTTCCTTTCCTTGGCTGCCTTGCCAGGGTCTGTTCTTTGTCTGCACAGTCATTGCCATTCTGAGTGGTGTGGGATGGTATCTCAACCTGCTTTTGACTTCCATTTCTCTCTTAATGAGTGAGTTTGAGCATGTTTTCCTCTTTGTTGGTTGCTTGCACATTGTCTTTTGAGAAGTGTGTGTTCACGTCCCTTGCCCATTTATTAATGGGTTTTTTTGTTTGTTTGTTTTTGCTGAATGATTTGCAAGGGTCCTTGAAGATTCTGGATATTAGACCTTGGTCAGATGCAGTTTGGGAACATGTTCTCCCACTCTGTAGGCTATCTGTTTGTTGCTAATTTCTTTTGCTGTGTGGAAGCTCTTTACAGTATTAGGTCTGACATGTCAATTTTTGTTGCCATTGCTTTTGGGGACGTAGCCACATAGATTCTTTGCCAAAACCTATGTGAAGAAAGGTATTTTGTATGTTTTCTTGCAGGATTTTAATAGTTTGAGGTCTTCCATTTAGATCTTTTATTCATCTGGAGTTCCTTTTTGTGTCTGGCGAGAGGTCGGGACCCAGTGTTTCTCTTCCACCCATGACTAGCCACTTATCCCACCATCATTGATTGAATAGGGCATCTTTTCCCCCTTGCTTATTGTTGTGGATTCTGTAGAGGATCAGTCGGGTGTGTGAGTTTACCTCTTGGTCCTCTCTCGTGTTCCACTGCTCTGTGTGGAAGCGGGTCTCTAACTTTTCCATAAAATTTGAAATCGGTGGGTGAGATGCATCTCACATAGTCTGGATGTCTCAGGATTGCTTTGGAAGAAATTCAGGGTGTTTCATGGTTCCACGTGAATTTTAGCATCATGTATTTAAGTTTCTTTAAACAAATTTGCCGAATAGCAAAGGAATACAATGAGAGGGTAGAGTGCAATGTTTTGGTCTTTCCTTACATTGTAGAATGAGGAAATCAGGGTATTTAGTGTCTCTGTTATTTTGTACCATTGTTTATTCTTTTGTGGCAAGAAGCTTCAGTATCCTCCTTTCAAGCTATTTTGAAGATGCAACCATACTGTTAACCCTGGTTACCCTGCTGTGGAATAGAAGAACAGGATTTCTTTCCTCTCATCTGTGTGGAACTTTGTACCCTTTTCTAATCCCTACTCACTCCCCCTCTTCCCTCCAACCTCTGATAACCACTGCTATGCTTTCCAGGTCTTTGAGATACAGTTTCTCAGCTTCTGCATGAGTGAAAGGATGCAAAGTTTATCTTTCTTCCTGGCTCATTTCATTTACCTTCATGTCCTCCAGGTGTAACCGTGTGGCTCCCATGATGGGATTTCATTGTGTTCTTCTGGCTGAAGAGTATTCCAGTGTCTGCATGTGGGACAGCTTCTCTCTCCCTTCATCTGCAGATGGACAGGTAGGTAGGCTGATTTCTTATCTTGGCTAGTCTGCATAGTGCTGGATTCCACCTGCGAATGCAGATAATCTCTTCCATGTCTTGATTTCATGTGCTGTGTATATATACCTAGTAGTTGAATTGCTGGATGAAATGGTAGTTGTCGTTTTAAGGTTTGGAGAAAACTCCAAGTGGTTTTTTCAGTGTGTATACTAGCTTATGTTTCCACGAACTGTGGAGACAAGTTCCTCCTTTGTGGAAAACCCACACATCATTGTTTTGTCTTTTAATATTTTTCAACTTTTTTTGTAGTATCCAGTCCATCTAGAGTGAGATGGAATATGAGTGGTGGTTTTGATTTTGTGTGTGTATGTGTGATTAGTTACATTTGCCAAGTTATTGTTTTTGTTTTTTGGGTTTTTTTGAGATGGAGTCTCACTCTGTCACCCAGGCTGGAGTGCAGTGGCATGATCTTGGCTCACTGAAACCTCTGCTTCCTGAGTTCAAGCTATTCTCCTGCCTCAGCCTCCCGAGTAGCTGGGACTGCAGGCACCAACCACCATGCCCAGCTAATTTTTGTATTTTGAGTAGAGACAGGGTTTTATTATGTTGGCCAGGCTGGTCTGGAACTCCTGACCTCAAGTGATCTGCCCGCCTTGGCCTCCCAAAGTGCTGGGATTACAAGTGTGAGCCACTGTATGCGGCCCACTATTGAACTTTCTACTGCTAAGAGATAAAGTTGTTTAGAGATAAAGTTGATCTCATTCTCACATGAATGAGGTCATGCAGTGTTTGTCTTTCTCTATCTGGTTCATTTCCTTTAATGTCACATCCCCCAGGTTTCTGCACGTTGATGCAGATGACATGATTTCATGAATTTCTATGGCTGAAGAGAATTCCATTGTGTACTGTGGTTTCTGTGTTGCTTCATCTGTGGATGAACAGGTAGGTTGATTCCATGTCTTTGCTATTGTGAACAGTGCTTCAGTCATCATAGGAAGCCCGATATCTCTTCAACATAACAGATTTCATGTGCTTTCAGTGAATAACCAGTGGTGGGATTGCTATATGAAAGGGTAGTTGTAATTTTAAATTTTTGAGGTAACTTCAACTGTTTTGCATCATGTGTACAGTAATGTACATTCCCATCAATAGTGTATAAAAGTTTCTTTTGGCTGGGTGTGGTGACTCATGCCTGTAATCCCAGCACTTTGGGAAGCCGAGGTGGGCGAACTCCTAAGGGCAGGAGTTCGAGACCAGCCTGGCCAACATGGCGAAAGCCCATCTTTACTAAAAATACAAAAATTAGCCAGGTGTGGGGGCACATGCCTGTAGTCCCAGCTACTCGGGAGACTGAGGCAGGAGAATCACTTGAACCTGGGAGGCAGAGGTTGCAGTGAGCCAAGATCATGCCACTGCACTCCAGCCTGGGTGACAGAGCAAGACTCCATCTCAAAAAAAAAAAAAAGAAAGTTTCTTTTTCTCCAAATCTACATTGGCCATTGCCTGTGAACATATGGGGATTTTTTGTTGGTTTTGTTAAGTTTCTTTCTAAGTAGAGTGAGAGGTGTCTGAGTGTGGTTTGCACTTATACATTTGTGTGAGGATTAGTGAAGCTGAGCAATTTGTCTTTGACTTGTTAGTCAATTTCAAGTTTTCTTTTCAGATACACCTTTTCAGGTTTTTTGCCCAGTGTTGGATTGGGTATTAGGTTTTGTTCATTTTCCCAGTTATAGTAGTACATTCTACTATATAGTAGTATATTATTGTGCATGTTAGATAACAACCCTTTTCACAGATATGATTTTGCCAAACCTTCTTTCAATCTGTAGGATGCCTTCTGTTATGACTGTTTTTCTTCCCCATGCAGAAGCTCTAAAATTTTGTATAGTCCCCATGTGTTTGTATTTGCATTTGTTAGCAGTGATTTTTGTGTCCCATCAAAAAAAAAAAAAGAAAGAAAGAAAAGAAAAAAGAAAAAAAAAAGAGGGGAATGTTCACTTTTCCTCCCTGCAGAGGTGGCAGTGAGCCGAGATCGCACCATTGCACTCCAACCTGGGTGACGAGTGAAACTCCATCTCAGCAACAACAACAACAACAAAAAAACAGCCTTAAAGATTATTGGTAAAATGTAAATTTTTGGCTGGGCATGGTGGCTCACACCTGTAATCCTAGCACTTTGGGAGGCTGAGGCGGGTGGATTGCCTGAGCTCAGGAGTTCGAGACCAGCCTGGGCAACATGGTGAAACATGTCTCTGCTAAAAATATAAAAAATTAGCTGGGCATGGTGATGCATGCCTGTAGTCCCAGCTACTTGGGAAGCTGAGGCACAAGAATCACTTGAACTGGGGAGGCAGAGGTTGTAGTGAGCCAAGATTGTACCACTGCACTCCAGCTTGGGTGACAGAGTGAGATACTTGAAAAAAAAAATGAAAATTTTTGCCTAGGGTTAAAGGATTGTTTTGAATTAGATAAGATAAAGCTAAAAGTTCAAACAAGTTGTGGAAGGATTATAAAAATTAATCTTGCAAAAGAAATTCCATGTATGGGGCCAGGCACAGTGGCTCATGCCTATAATCCCAGCACTTTGGGAGGCCGAGGCGGGCAGATCTCTTGAGTTCAGGAGATGGAGACCAGCCTGGCCAACATGGCAAAACCTCGTCTCTACTAAAAATACAAAACTTAGCCAGGCATGATTGCACATGCCTGTAATCCCAGCTACTCAGGAGGCTGAGGCATGAGAATCCCTTGAACCCAGGCAGTGGAGGTTGTAGTGAGCCAAGATCACACCATTGCACTCCAGCCTGGGCAACAGAGCAAGACTCTGTCTCAAAAAAAAAGAAAGAAAGAGAGAGAGAGAGAGAAAGAGAGAAAGAAAGAAAGAAAGAAAGAAAGAAAGAAAGAAAGAAAGAAAGAAAGAAAGAAAGAAAGGAAAGAAAGAAAGAAAAGAAATCTCATGTGTGAACATATTTACTAATTCAAAAGGGTATTATATCATTTTTCTGTAAATTGAGCATTGAAATAAAAGCACAATAAGGTACTCTTAAAGCACTTATCTGCTCTTTAGCAAAATTTGTAAAGGGTTATAAAAGGTTTTTGCTTTTTTAAAATTTCTGAGTCGTCATTTTGGCAAAATAAATAACTTAAGGTAATCTGGAATTCTGTTTTATAACATGAAGTATTTTAAACTTCTAACATATTTAACAGGCTTCCTAAAATCAAACTTCAGTTTCAAAATCATTTTTCCTGACACCTGGATATTGAATGCTACAGCAGGCCCTTGGAACATCCAGAAGAGAGGTAAACAGGATCACCTGACATGTTTAGGTACATGGGATTGCCAAAATGATGTTTAATCTTCTTCAGCTTATATTTTAGGGAATAATATAAATATTTGCTCCAAAATTGTATGGGATTTCTAAAATTTTAATGTCTGAGTATATGCTATCAGGCACAATTAAGGATGTTATGTTAAGTTATTGTAAACCACGGAGATAACCAAATTACTCTGTCAATCATGTTTATGACTGTAACTACCCTGGACATTTTGTTATTCACAGACAATTGTCTTGTTTTGATTCTCTTCAAAAGATGGTTTATAATCAACTATAGAAATTTGACAGATGCTCTCAAATGCAGGTTTCTGATAACTTTGGAGATTATGGCATTGGAATAAAGTAAAAACATACAGGACTCATGAAGAGCTGAAATCCTCACAAATATCAAGCAAAATAAGAGTTAACCAAATGGACTGAACTAGCAGAAAACTGAAGTAATCTTCTGACTTTTGCTTGGAACATTGCTGATCTTTGTCTTGTTTTTCAGAGTCAAGGAAACTTATTTTGAGTTATTTATGGCCTTTAATAATTGAGTAAGGTATATTCCTGTGAATAAAATTTTGAGCATATTTGTCTTTCTCTCTCTGCCTGGCTTCTCCAGAATTTAGAAACTAGTTGTGAGTATTCCTAACTTATGGCAATATAGTTGTTTGCATCTGTGCAACAAGAATCCATTTTCTTTTGCAACAGACAAATGAGTTGTTTTACCAAGGCTTTGACTGGAAGGGTATGCTTCCCTTTAAGAAGTCAAGCTTGATTTGCAAAGCCAATAAAAGCCCCTTAGGAAAATTGGCCTCATACCTTGTCTACACAGTCCCCATATAGGGTTCCTGGCCTGTGGTAAGTAAAGAATGTATGTTTCTTTCTTTCTTTCTTTTTCTTTCTCTCTTCCTTTCTTTCTTTCTTTTCTTTCTTTCTCTCTTTTTTTTTTTGAGATGGAGTCTCATTCTGTCACCCACACTGGAGTGTAGTGGCACGATCTCAGCTCACTGCAACCACTGCCTCCCAGGTTCAAGTGATTCTCCTGCCTCAGCCTCCTGAGTAGCTGGGATTACAGGAACACACCACCATGCCTGGCTAATTTTTGTATTTTTTAATAGAGACAAGGTTTTGCCATGTTGGCCAGGCTGGTCTTGAACTCCTGACCTCAGGTGATCCACCCACCTCAGCCTCCCAAAGTGCTGGGATTACAGACATGAGCCACCTATGCCCAGTCAAGAATGTCACTTTCTAACAGGCCCAGGAACCCCATGTTCTTGGGACCCCAAGAAGAAAGGAGTTTACCCAACTCACAGGTATTTTGAGGGTACACACCCATGGCTGGGCTCAGCTTGGAAAGTCCTATTTGAGATTCCTTGTGGAACTGAGTTTCATCAAAACCAATCTCAGGCCTATATAAAAATAATTATTCTTGCTGCACTTTATGCAAATAATCAGGCCAAGTATAAGACTAAAGTCTATTTTGCAAACAATTCAGTCCTATCCTGATTTGTTTTTAACAAGAATGGGGACTGGGGCTAGAGAAATTATGTTTCAAAACCTAACATACATTTGTCATTAAATTCCAGACTCATTAGTTGTTTTTAAGTTTTTGCCTACATTTTAGACTAACCCTGCTTATTCCTGTGAACCTACCAGCAATCTCCAACTGCAGCTCAGAGGGAACAAAAGGGATGGGTAATGTAAAAATCTGGATCAATATTCTAGTTCTGAGCAATTATCCTGCAAATCCTGCCCAGGTGATGGGAACAAATAGGGTGCTCATCACCCATCAACTTTCCTTGTTGGGAAAGTAAGACCAAGGGAGCTAACCAAAGCCAAGCCCCATGCACCCAAATCTTAGCAAGCATAACTATAGCCACCAGTTATCTGGGTGTGTAACAAGACATCCTTTTCTCTCCCTTGTTGAAGGAGGACTCAACTCCACAGCTTCACTTTAGCATTTGGCTTAAGATAAGGAGTACATATAACCCCTCGCCTGAGACACATTTTTGTCCTAAACTCAATTCCAAGCTTTGTGTCAAAGCCCTAGAAAAGAAAACTGGATCTGAAGGATCCAGAGGCAGATAATAACATAAGTTAAAAGGCACAGCACAGGTGAGCATGACTAATTCCTGCCAATTAAACCAACCTCCCCATTTAACCTCCCCATTTCATGGATAAAAGTCATGCTAGTATCCATGGTATACATGAAGTCTAGGGAAGTCAAAGGCTCCTGACAGCAGGGGAAATAGTGCGTATCTGGGTAAGAGCAGATATTCCCACCCCCAACCCTCCTTGTTAACATGGGTGAAAGCTGCTTTGACACCCATGAGCAGCAAGCACCTGTTGCAGTGGCTGGGACTCAGGGATATAAGACTGGAAGAAAGAAAGAGGGATGCCTCACTTTCTCTCCCTCATGTACCTCAGGTATTTGCTAGGAAGAGAAGGGAATCTGGATGCCTCACTTCCCTCTTTCTAGATGAGTAGACATTCATCTTCAGTATGTAACCCTTTTGAATGCATCCTGAACCCCTGGGACTGCTTTGAAAAAAACACCTTCTTTTTTCCTTTTTCCTCCTCTGTCCTCTCTTCACCGATAGGTCTCTGTATTATGGGACACTCTCCTCAGATCCATCCTCCAAACTAGAAAAAGTTAATTTCCCAAAACTTAAATTGGTTGGCTTAGGATTGGGCTTGGGGGAAGGGAACCCAGTAGGCAGACATGCCAGCAAAAGGGTAAAAGTTTTTTTTTTAACCAGTCGGACTTTTGGCCTCCCTCTCTCTGTGCAAACAAGTAAAAGGCCTTGGGGGTTTTTGAGCTGTCCTTACCGCCCCGTTCATTTCGATACTTGCTTTCTAGTAACCTGGTTTGTCTCTTCTCGCGTTCAGGCCATCAAACTTCAAACGATCATGCAACAGGAGCCTCAGACGATGGACCCTTTTGTCAGCAAGCCTTAGCCAGGCATCTGAGGGAGATCTGACTGCTGCTTTCCCAAATCAGCACCCGCTGTCAGCAGGAAGCAGTTAAGATCAGTCTTCATCCTAATCCTTATCCTTATAATAATGGCATTAGATGGGCTTTGTTAGAGGACGGAATGATAGATGCAGGAGGCAGATGAGGGAAGGTCGCTGGAAAATCTCCAACCTGCCCGACAAGTGTTTACATCAAATGCTTTTGTGCAGATGAGAGAACCTGCCCAGGGTCTTGTCTGCGCATGCCTGCAATGGACTGGGGACCCGCCTGGGAGAATGGGGAAATTTGTGCCTTGTGCAGTGGGGAGGAGCCCTGGCCTCTTCACTTTGTGTGTGGTGGCCTGATAGTCAATCTGCGAGGTGGGAGCCTATTGGGGGACCCCTTTTCACTTTGCTAAGGGTTTTTGTTTTCCTTTTCGCCCAGTAAATTCCGCTGTCCTCACCCTTCAATGTGTCCATGTGCTTAATTTTTCCTGGTCGTGACACAAGAACTCGGATTTAGCTGAAATAAGGAGCAAAAATCCTTCATTATTTACATATGAAAAGTCAACTAACACAGGAGCTAACAATGATAGAGTTACCTAATGTTGAGCTTGAAGGAAGCTAGATGGCCCATAATCCAGCTCCCCAGGACCCACAAGGAAATGAGGCCCAGTGACCCCAAGGAACTTGCCAGCCTCACTCAGCACATTGCTGAGAAGCTGGGTGACTGTGTCTTACAACTGACAAAATAAAAAGCAAGCCCTAGTTCTGCCCTTAGAAGGCATTTAGAAATATTCAGTGAAGTGAAATGAACACCAGAAGGCAATTCATAACTCACTGAAGAGGAAACAATGCATGCTTTGGTTTCAGGAGAGAACAAGATCACTTCAGGTGTGAAAGAACAAGATCACTTCAGGTGTGAGGGTTCTGGGACCAGCGTATATTTTCCCATCTTTCCTGAAAGAAACTAACCACTGTCAACCATGTGGGTGGTAGAGAGGGAGCAAGGCAGCTGAGGCCATCCAGGTGGCTGTTGGACATCTCCCATCCCAGGGCTGCTTACTTCATAAGACTCAATAAACTTCCACCTGGGGCACTGCAGGAATTAACACCTGCCTTCTCACGATCCAAAAAAAATTAGCCTTTTTCTCCTTTTTATGTTTATTTTTATTAGTTCTATAGCCAGCTGAACTGGAAATTCCACTAGGATATTCAGGACTCAGACCCTGAGGCATCTAGCAACAGAGCAGGAGAATCTTCCCTAATATCTTAATAACCAACATATACTGAGCATTTCCTGTAAGCTAGAGGTTGTTTTAGGTTGGAGGTAATTAAGATAGTAAGAAGGCTAAAGCCCCTCCAGACTACCCAATAATTAACCTGATAAACAGGAGATCTGAAAGAATGGCCAGGAGTCCCTTGAGATGTTAATCAATGGTCCTTAAGTGTTTTGAGGTCAGGGATTTTCCCTAAGAATCTGTGCATAGCTAGGCTAGACTGTTTCCCAGAAAAATGCACACAAAAGTTTGCATATAATACATGGGGTTCACTGAAATCATCCTTGTTAAGTCAGTGTGTGTGTGTGTGTGTGTGTGTGTGTGTGTGTGTGGTGTGTGTGTGTGTTAGAGATGGGGGTCAGGGTGGCTGAAACATTATTTTCTTGGCAGAAAATAAGGAAGTGTTCAATGAATGATGAAGACTTGTCAAAAGGAACCAGCTTGAAGGGACTCCCATGGTCAAAAGAAGAACAATTTGAGCATCAAAAATAAATAGTGGCCAAGGGCCAGGTGTGGTGGCTCATGCCTGTAATCCTAGCACTTTCGGAGGCCAAGGCAGGAGGATTGCTTGAGCCCAGGAGTTCAAGACCAGCCTGGGCAACATAGCAAAACCCCGTCTCTAAAAAAATTTAAAAATTAGCCACGTGTGTTTGGCGTGTCTATGGTCCCAGCTACTCAGGAGGCTGAGGTGGAGGATCACCTGAGCCCAGGAGGTCCAGGATGCAGTGAGCTGAGACTGTGCTACTGCACTCCAGCCTGGGCAGCGGAGCAGGACCCTGTCTCAGTCAATCAATCAATCAATCAATCAATCAATCAATGCCAAGGCAGGAGGATCACTTGAGGCCAGGAGTTCAAGACCTGTGTGGGCAACATAGTGAGTATCCATCTGTACAAAAACTTTAAAAATTAGCCAGAAACAGTGGCACATGCCTACAGTCCCTTGAGAGGCTGAGATGGGAGGATCGCTTGAGCCCAGGAGTTCGAGGCTATAGCAGTGAGCTAGGATAAGGCCACTGAACTCCAGCCTGGGCAACAGAGCAAGACCCTATCTCAAAAAGTAAGTATTAATCAAGCACAACTCACTAAATGAATTCATGCTGGTGTGAATAAATGAATCAATGGGAGAGTAGGGAAAGTTCTTCCTTACAAGAGAATGCCAATTAATAAATATGGAGGAACTCATGGAAATAATCAACATTGGACAACCACTATGGAGGGGACTGATTCATGTGGGAGCTGTTGATGAATACTAAGCTAGTTGGTGGAAGTGTGACAAAGAACAGGATATTGCCATAATATTGGAATACCACCCCCCACCACCAATACTAATCAATTACAAAGGTGAAATGGTGAAATTAAGGTAGAGAAATCCAACAGTCACCAACATGACTAGATGATTAAGGTCAACATCACCAATGGTGGAACAAGCCCGTCCCTGGTGTGAAGCACTGAGAGGAGCACATCGCCATCTCTGCAATGTTCCTGCCATGAATGAGTGAACATCAGATGGACCTGAGTTGAGGGTTGTCCTACAGAATGTAAGGCCTGCATGCTTAAAACTGTCAAGGAAATGAAAGACAGGGAAAGGATGATGACAAACTGTTTCAGATTGAAGAAATTTGAAAAGACATGACAGGCTGGGCACAGTGGCTCACACCTGTAATCCCAGCACTTTGGGAGGACAACGAGGGAGGAT
The DNA here is from genome assembly GCF_000001405.40 of Homo sapiens. Taxonomy (NCBI): domain Eukaryota; kingdom Metazoa; phylum Chordata; class Mammalia; order Primates; family Hominidae; genus Homo; species Homo sapiens. The sequence continues at coordinate 107,786,191 of NC_000012.12, read as the reverse complement.
CACTAGAGGCCAGGAGTTCAAGACCAGCCTGGGCAACATGATGAAACCCCATCTCCACTAAAAATACAAAAATTAGCCAGGCATGGTGGTGCTCGCCTATAATCCCAGCTATTGGGAGGCTGAGACACGAAAATTGCTTGAACCTGGGAGATGGAGGCTGCAGTGACCTGAGATCGCACCACTGGACTCCTCCCTGGACAACAGAGTGAGACTGTGTCTCAAAAAATAAAAGTAAATAAATAAAAATTCAGAAACAGGCCAAGCATGGTGGCTCATGCCTATAATCCCAGCACTTTGGGAAGCCAGGAGTTCCAGACCAGTCTAGGCAACATAGTGAGACTCCCTGTCTCTAATATCTAATTGTAATTTCAAAAAAAGATAAAAATTCCCAAACAACTTATGATAATTAGTACTTACTTATAGAGAGAGGGCAAAGAAGAAAAGAAGTAAAATGAACAATTAGGGAATGTGGGTAAATGGGAGATGATCGTTCTCTGTACTGTTCTGGCAACTTTAGTGTAAGTTTGAAATTATTTAAAAATATATTATTTTGAAACAAAGAATGACACCTCATACACAAAGGACTTATGGTAGATCATTTGCCAATGGGGTCACATTTTCTCCTATTTTGGATGCTTCTTTGCAATGTTACTTTGTGGCCTTCCCTATCAAGAGGGAGAGTCTATTGTCCTGCCTTTTGAATTTAGGTAGCTTTGTCCCTTGCTCTGACCAAAAGAAGGCAGACATTATGTGACTCCTGAGCCTTGGTCTTTTTTTTTTTTGAGATGGAGTCTCACACTGTCACCCAGGCTGGAGTGCAGTGGTGCGATCTTGGCTCACTGCAAGCTCCACCTCCTGGGTTCATGCCATTCTCCTGCCTCAGCCTCCCGAGTAGCTGAGACCACAGGCACCTGCCACCATGCCCGGCTAATTTTTTCTATTTTAGTAGAGACGGGGTTTCACCATGTTAGCCAGGATGGTCTCGATCTCCTGCTCATGATCCGCCTGCCTCGGCCTCCCAAAGTGCTGGGATTACAGGCGTGAGCCACCGTGCCCAGCTGAGCCTTGGTCTTAAAAGGCCTCGCAGCCTTCTTTCTTGCCCTCCTGCTACTCTGAGATCATTGTGGAAAGAAGCCCAGAACTCCTTGAGGATGAATGACCACATATAGAGAGAAGGCCAACCATGAGCCATGTAAGATAGGCCATCTTGGACCATGCAGCCATTTCAGTTGCATTCTGTCACTAGAGACATGAGCCCAGGGGACACAAGCCAATGGACCACCAGTTAACACAGACTTGGGAGGAATAATAAATCATTTTTGTAAGTTTTGGGGTAGCTTGTTACACAACATTAAATAATCTTCTACGTTACTATAATTAAAGATTTAATCAACATGACTGACCATATTGCTTTGAATTTTTCTACATGCCAGAGTACTGTAGTTGTATTTTCTCTGCAAAGCTATCTCAAACTTCCATTAGAGAATTTGTTTGCACATGAGTTCATAGTGATAACAGCTCTTTATAGAGCTCTTTTATTTATGTAACCTAATTTCACTTTTACCACAACCCTATGAGATGGAATAGGTGTTCTACTTGACAAATGGGGAAATAGGTTCAGAGAGGTCATGTCACTTGCCAAGGAAACATAGCCCTTAAGGGGGTAATATCAGGACTGGAACCCAGGTCCTTTCTACTTTGTCAAGGTTAACTATAGTCATGAGCTTTCTGGAGAGAACACTTTGCCCTCCCTTCAGATGTCAAACCAGAAATATATCAGGAAATGTTCTGAATCAACCTCAGTTGCTGTGAATATGAATGGGGGTTAACAAGAATTCCCCAAGCAACCAGGACCCCAAATCCACTTTATTCCACCTGTACCTCATTTTATTGTGTGGATACTAAGCTGTATGACAACTATAGGTCTCAAATAAGAAGAGCTTACAGGGAGACTTAATGTCAATCTTAAAATATGCTTGATTACAACTGAAAGTTGTCTAGTCATTTGAATGTGGTCAGCACTGAGCCTCAGAACAGAGACAGGAAACAGATGTTGGTGGAAAGTAAGGATTAAAAGTCATTAAACAACAAAAATCCTCTATTTTTCTTTTTAGCCATTATCATTAAGCTTCCTATAAGCAATCAGTAACTATTTGCTGATTGACGAATGGACAGACAGATGGAGGAAGCCCAAATGAATGACATAATAGAGGCTTAGAGCACAGGTTTTGCAACAAGATGTGGTTTACTACCACTTAACCTGTGTGATGTGTCTCAACCTCTCTAAGTCTCAGTTTCCTCAACTTTAAAATGGAAGTGAAATAGAATACATGGCTTGTAGGATGGTTGTGAAGATCAGATGGGAATAGTATTTACAAGGGCCAGGCTTGGTGCAGTGGCTCATGCCCATAATCCTAGCACTTTGAAAACCCGAGGTGGGAGGATCACTTGAGTTCAGGAGCTTGAGACCAGCCTGGACAACACAGGGAGAGCTTGTCTCTACAAAAAAAAAGAAATCTTAAAAACTAGCCAGACATGGTGGTGCATGCCGGTGGTTCCAGCTACTCAGGAAGCTGAGGCGGAGGATCACTTAAGCCCAGGAGGTGGAGGCTGCAGTGAGCTGTGACCGTGCCATCTACACTACAGCCTGAGTAACAGAGTAACTTTCAAAAAAAAAAGTGGGGGGAATGGGGCACAGTGGCTCACACCTGTAATCCCAACACTTTGGGAAGCCGTGATGGGAGGATCACTTGAGCCCAAGAGTTCAGGCCCAGGAGTTTGAGACCAGCCTGGGCAACATAACAAGACCCTACAAAAAAATATAAAAAATTCACCAGGCATGGTGGCATGCAGCTGTAGTCCCAGCTACTTGGGAGGCTGAGGTGGGAGAAGTGCTTGAGCCTGGGAAATTAAGGCTGCAGTGAGCATGATTGCGGCACTGCACTCCAGCCTGAGTGACAGAACGAGACTCTGTCTCAAAAATAAAAAAAATTAAAAAGTATTAAAAAAATTAAAAAGTTTAAAAAAAATAAAGGACTAGCCTGCCTTATAATAGGCCCTCAGGAAATGTTACCTGATGGGAGAATCTGTGTTTGGTGGTCTTTTAAGAAAGAACAGATATGCTTCTGTCCTGCACAGTTTAACCCTTATTTCTCTAAAATTCCCAGGATCAAAGGAGGTCATTTCCCAAAGCCCTCTCTAGTCCTGTGACTCTGAGATAGGATTCCTCCTTCAGATATTTTTTTTCATGGTCAGGGAGATGAGAAACAACTTCAGAAATGGCCCCCTCAAGGCCTGCTCTGTGGGCAGAAACTGGTTTGGAGAGTTTTCTCATCCGGACACACTTCCCTCTGCAGCATCTGAGGTTTCATTTCGGCCATGGTCCATGACAGTGAGTAACCCAACATGAAAAGGCCACTGACAGTTCTTCACCAAAGGACGCAGCTAAATAGCTATGAAAGGATTAAAAAACCAATCTCACCACCCAGACAGCCTGTGAGTAAAACACACATACACAACTTAGCGACAATAATCAAAGAGCTAGAGACAGTGCTATGGTTTCATGGTCCAATAAAGAAAATATAAAGCCCCTTCAGGCTGTCTGCCCTCTCCCAGCAGCCTGTCTGTCTTGATGTGGAGATGAAAGAGCTGGCAATGGTTGACAGAAGGGTCAAAAGAGCTCGCCTAGGGGTACAGTCTGCCTTTACAGTGATCACTGTGAGAAGGTTTCCGTGGGTCAACATTGCTATCAAAAGTTTCATTCCTAGGGTGAAAAATGGGATTGTTAACCATTTTTGGAGATGATGACGATAACTTTGAAAGCTTTGAAGAAAACCTTTGTCTAGACAGAAACAGCTCAGAAAGCTTTTGGCATGCACACCCTTCTGAAACCTCTTAACTGATTATAGCTGGAGAATGCTGACACAGCCTAGAGATACCTTCCCCAGCCTGATTTGACTTGGCTCTCAAGTTCAGTTTAAGGCTTTGTGATAGTCCCTTTGGACTGCTATAGCAAAGTACTGTAGACTAGGCAGCTTAAACAGCCATTTATTTCTCACAGTTCTGGAAGCTGGAAGTCCAATATTAGGATGCCAAGATGATGGCTGGGTTCTGGTGAGGGGCCTTCTCTGGGTTGCAGACTGCTGACTTTTCATTGTATCCTTAGATGTCACAAAGAGGATGAGAGAACTCTCTAGGGGTCCCTTTTAAGGGCACTAATCCCACTCATGAGGGCTCCAGCCCCATGACCTCATGACCTAATCACCTCCCAAAGACCCCATCACATTGGGGGTTAGGATTTCAACATACACATTTGCGGTGGAGGGGGACAAACATACAGTCCATTGCAGGCTTATAGCACTTGGAGTCAGGAGGACAGGAATTAAGTCCCAGGGTCCAGGCTTGAAGTTCTGTTGCCCACAGATCCAAAACTGCTCTGTGAAAGGCACAGACCCCATATCTTCAGATCTAGATGACCGAAGGGCATCTCAGTTCTACTCTCCTCCAAACCCTGTTCTTCTTTGACAAGTTTTTATTCTTCTTCCCCCATCCCCAGAAATTCCACAAAGGAAAGAAAGTAAGGTACTATTTATTTCTCTCTAGCCTTTAATCTATTGCATTTACTCCGTATTGGTTTCTTTGTTGATGTTTTTGTACATAAGCAGTGTATTTTTTTACCCCAGAAGCCACAGACAAAAGGAAATAAATGAATTATTGAGCACCTATTATTTGCTGCCAGATTCTTGGGCAAGGTGTGTGGCATATATTATCACAGTCTCATATAATAAACACTAGGCCAGGTGTGGTGGCTCATACCTGTAATCCCAGCACTTTGGAAGGTCGAGGCAGGTGGATCACTTGAGATCAGGAGTTTGAGACCAGCCTGGCTAACACAGCGAAACCCCCATCTCTACCAAAATACAAAAATTAGCTGGGTGTGGTGGTGGGCACCTGTAGTCCCAGCTACTCAGGAGGCTGAGGTGGGAGAAATGCTTGAACCCAGGAGGCGGAGGTTGCAGTGAGCTGAGATCATGCCACTGCACTCTAGCCTGGGTGACAGAGTGAAACTCTGTCTCAAAAATAAATAAATGAGTAAATAAATAAATAAACACTGCAGAACTTTCTGGAGATATTTATAGTTACAAAACCTTACACTACTAAATAAATATGAATATCATTTAAAATGTGCCATTATGGAGAAGATCTGTCTCATTTTTTTAACCAAGTCATTAAAAACTGATAACTTAATGCTTTTGAAACTAGTTAGCACCCAAGGAACAATATTAAACCCACACAGGTATACTTTTCATACAACCCTCATCTCATTTTCATCTCCACTGTCTGCAAATGGCAGAACCAGCTCCATCTTCTTCAATGACTTAAAAACCTACCTTAGTTTTAGTGCATTACCTTCCAACCCTCTGCCCTCCCAGTTATTTAATCTCTCCAATTCCTAAGACCTTCACCTCCACCTAATTTCAGACTCCTTGAAGCCTTGTCACCTCTGAGCCTCTGAATCAGCTAGACCTGTTTACCTGTAAGACCTCAGGCTCAGAAGTATCTTTGGTATCCCATCTTTTCCTCCATTTGGGTCACACCAGCCCAGCTCTCTTTCTCCCTTCACTGTGAAGTATCCAGAAAAGGCAGTCTTCAAGTTGACTTCCACTTCTCATTTCTTCAATCCACTGTGCTATTTCTGCTCTTACAGAGGTCTCTAGCAATAGACAGTGCTAAAGTCAGGACAGCAATCCAGGCCCTGCCTCACGCAGCACATTGCAGAGAAACTGGGGCCAGAGTGAAGGGCTCAACCCAATAAGATCCCCTCATACTTCAACCATCTGACACCTCTGATTCATAGGATGCTGTCACTCATTCCCTCTTTCTTATACAATTATATCCTCATTTAATTGCCACAATTTCATACCAGCTTGATTCTCTTTCCAACTTCTCTGGCTCCTATTTCTCAGCTCTCTTCAAAGACATTTCTTCTTCTGACACACCTTCAACGCAGGCCTGTCCCTGCTTTCTTCTCTTTATTTATTTATTTATATGTATTTTTTGAGACACAGTGTCACTCTGTTGCCCAGGCTGGAATGCAGTGGTGTGATCATGGCTTATTGCAGCCTCGACCTCCTGGGCTCAGGTGATCCTCCCACCTCAGCCTCCCGAGTAGCTAGGACCACAGGCATGCACCACCCTGCCTGGCTAATTTTTTGTAGACAGCGGGGAGTCTCCTTATGTTTCACAGGCTGGTCTTGAACTCCTGGCTCAAGTGATCCTCCTACCTCAGGCTCCCAAAGTGCTGGGATTACAGGTGTGAGCCACCATGCCCAATTCTTCTCTTTTTCTCATCAACATTCTCCTGTGGAGATCATACCTACTTCTATAACTCCCCATAAGTGTGTGGCTCTTAAAGAAACAGCTACGCTTGACTTTTCTCTTTACCTCAACCTCAGCATTTTCAGTTGCTTGTGGGCAGGAGTAGCCTACCAGTATTTTACATTCAGCGTCTCCAAAACAAGACTCTTACATTTTAAATCCACTTCTCTTTCTGTGTTCTCAATTTCAACCACAGTTGTCTTTAACTTCTCCCTCTTCCTCATCCCCTCCCCCTCCTCTGAGTTGCCAAGACCTATCAGTTCCACTTGTCAATCCATCCCTCCCTTCACATTCCCAATGATACTGTCAGAGTTCAGGCCCCTACTTTGTTTCCTCTCCCTTAATTATGGCAATACCCTATTGGTCCGCTGCTTCCTACCACCGGAGTACCATGATCCTTAACCACGTACCTTCTCCAAAACCCTCCCTCAATTTTTTTTTCAGTAGTTCCCCATTGGTTAAAAAATAAACTCCAAGCTGTTTTAGCCTGGCTTTCAATGTCCCTAGAGCTGCCTCAGCCATTGTATGCAGTCTCCTATTACTCAGCCTCTCTGCGCTCTCCAAACAGTTCCTGTCTTTGCAGCAACTTTGTTCCTCTTATTCCCTCTGCCTGGAGTTCTCGTTCCATTCTTACCTACTAAACACTGCATCCACCAAAGCCTTTCCTTCTTGCTCCCTTCTCACTTGAGGCTGGACCAAATCCCTCTTTTCTTTGGTTCCTCATAGCATATCTTCCATTTTGGATATCAGTTATACCATTTATACCTTTTTCCTCATATTGAGGTAAAACCGGTCTATTTCCCTACCAGCTTGTAAAGAGTCTTCAAGTTCCATTCCATAAAAAACTTATAAAGCTTTTGGTGATTTTTTGTGCTGTTTTGTTTTAACTGGGCGTGGTAACAGCAAGAAAAAAAAAAGTAGGCCGCAGCCCCAGGGCTGGATCATTCTAGTGGGAAGAGGGAAATACAGGAACAGAAAGCACCGTGCTGTGTGGCAGGAAGTGGGCATGTCTTATTACATTTGCTTCCCTCAGCTCGGACTTTGCACAGGTCGGATGCATGATATTTTCCAGCTGGAAGAGTCTAAAAGATAATGTGACACTCTTCATGTGTTCTAGCATAGAAAACTGAGAACACAACAGTTAGGGACTTGCTCAAAGTCACCAAGTCAGTGAGTGGCAAGAGCTGGATCCAGCCCCAGGGCCAGGGCACGCTCTGCCACATCCCAACGCAGCTCCTGCTTTGCACGCTCGGGGTGGGGTGGGGTGGGATGGGGTGTCGCAGCAATTACTCAGGTTGCCAACCACAGGGAGTATTCTAAAAGCAATCAAGTGTGATCAAGGGATATGTCTGGGCTGAGTGGGAAAAATAAAAAAAGGGAAGATGTTGAAGGACATGAAAATCTTTCTCCTTTTATGAATGCTTCATTGCCATAAAACTCCCCTCCATTCTTGCTTCCACAAAATTCACTGGAAATTTATTTTGTTCCTTTTGAAAGTCAAATTGTTCTAGGGTTAATGAAGTGATCATTCGCCGGAAAAGAGGTCAAACCTTTTTAAAGGTCTCATTCCCGGATTGGTGCTCCTCCTGTAAGTCATGGGGAAGGTCTCAGAAAAACTGCAAGATTTCTTCTTTTAAAAAGTTATATGATTGCGGAAGGAGTTCATTTAATTATTACTATTTTTTTAAATAGTAGTCTTACTCTGTTGCCCAGGCTGGAGTGCAGGCAGAGGCACGATCATGGCTTACGGCAGCCTCAAACACCTGGGTGCAAGGAAACCTCCAACCTCGCCCTCCTGAGCAGTTGGGACTACAGAGGCGTGCCACCAAGCCCGGATACATTTTTTTAATTTTTGTAGGTACAAGGTTTCTATATGTTGCCAAGGGCTGGTCTCATGCTCTTGGCCTCAAGTAATCCTCCTACCTTGGCCTCCCAAAGCGCTGGGACTACACGCATGATCCACCACACCCAGCTGAGAGATGGTTTTATTTTTATTTTTCCAAAAGGTTTCTCAAAATCATTGCCTCATTCTCAACAGGGCTTTAAATAAAACCACGTTAAGGTTTCCAGTACCTGGGCTGGTCTCAAACTCCTGAGCTCAAGCGATCCATCTACCTTTGCCTCCCAATGTGCTGGGATTACAGGGTGAGCCACTGCACCCAGCCAATTCTATGTTTTAACATGGATTCAGTGTTCAAAGCATGTATCCTAGAACATTACCAGAGGAGGTAAGAGAGTGTGGTCACTCTGTCCCTCTTTTGAAACACTGAAGAAATCATACCAACTCCACCTAGAGATTTTATTCTTAACCAGGCTTTACTCTCCATAAACTGAGAAATAGTATTTTCCCCAAAATAATAAAACTACTAATTTATCATTGGTTAGTGCCTTGCAGATTACCAAGGTCTTTCACATACACTTCTGTAAACATTTCTGTACAGGTGAGAAAACTGAGTTGAAGCAACATTTGCTCTGCTAGCAAATGACAGAGCAAGAGACAGCATGGTAAGGGAGAAAGAAATCCTTGGCTTTGGGTTCAGGCTCGGGACTTGATCTCAGCTCAAGGAATCCTAGCAACACTAAACTGGTCAAGGTATGTAACCTCTTTGAGCTTCATATTTTTTTTAATCACAAAATATTTGTCATACCCACCCCACAAATTTATGACAATTAAATAGGACAAAATGTAAAAAGCCACAACAAAATTCCTAGCACATAAAAGATGTCCACTGAAGATATAGCCTGCCTTAGTTGCTACAACTGTAAAAGGGGGTAATAAAATCTAAGTGAAATCTACCTGGAGGATGCACTTCCACTGTTAGTTCTCTTTGTCCATTTCCATTTCCCCTCCTTCTTCCCCCACAAACCAAAGCTGCCTCCATGGAAAGGATAATTCGGCATATTAGAAAACAATCTTAGGGAAGTTGATCTTCATACATCAGCAGGCATTTAACTTATCTACTGAACTCAAAATTGTTTCTTAGAAAAAAAATGACCCAAATTCAATATTTTAAAAAGGCTTTTAACATGGCCAAAGTCACTACATCATTTCCATATACTGTACCTGGAAGCCCTAATGGTGATAAAAATATTTGAGAATGTACCAACTTCAATCCATCCGTCTTGTCCCATATCTTTCCCCCATCTGGCTCAACCCGCAAAAAGGACTTCCAAGTAGATTTCTTTTTTATTTTTAAAGTCACAGTGCCACTTCAGTTTATCCAAAACTTAGATGGAGAGCTACACGTTGGGGGGCGGGGGGTATGCAGAGAAAAGGAAAATGAAGAAAACAGTGGACAAAACAATTGAGAGGAAAAACAAGTTTTCATACAAATCTGGGCTCTCTTCCAAAGAGATCATTAATTCTAAGATATTTTACTATCTGCTCAATGCTACAAAGCTTCCACGTGGCCACTGGATGAAACAGTGTGTACCAAGCCACGGATTCCCTGGCACCATCATTCACACAGTCAACAACAGCACATGCTGGCAAATTCGTTCTCAAGTACCAGCTTACAGTCTCCTTCACCCAAAGCAGGAGGTCAACAATTACTTTCCATTACATTTTGAATACAATTCCCGAAGGAAGGAATGCAAGAAAATGTTCCTCTCATTTTTAAGGACTGTTTTTGGCTGTTTGGGGTTGTTTCTGTTTTGGTGGCGGTAAAGTTCTTCTTTGGTTAAGGTTTAATGTTTATGTATACCATTTACCCACACCACGGAAGGTGGGAAATTCCAGTTGTTCTCGCCCTTTGAGTTTTTAGAATAATCGTATTTACAATGAGGTGCTCAGAATCTGAAACAGTTTGCATTTTAGAAGTATAGGAAAAGAGTCTCCTTAATAAGCACCTATAAGTTGCAGGCACGTAACCAATAAGGGCAGGGGAGAAATTCCCAAATGTCAAAACAACTCCCCCATCCCCCAAACCCCAGCACCCATTTCTTTTTCTTAAGATTTAGGCCTGGAGAAGATGCCAGATTAAGAATGCAAACCACCTTCGAAGAGGACCTTAGGTTGAGCGCCCGGCTGCGCGCTGTGCGGCGGGCGCGGGGGTCCTGGCCAGTTCGGGCGCTCGCTAGCTGCCCCCCTCCTCGGGCTCGCTGCTGGGCGAAGGCGCCGAAGAGGCCTTGGACTCCCCGTCGCTGTTGCATTCCGCCCTGCGCTGGGGGACGGCGCCGGCCGCGCCCTCGAGCCCCCAGGCCTGGCGCTCCAGCAGCTCCTGCAGGTGCTTGATGTAGTCGATGGCAGCGCGGAGCGTCTCCACTTTGCTGAGGCGCTTGTCTGCCAGCTCCCGGGGCAGGTGGTCTCGGAGGCGCGCATAGCCCTCGTTCACGCAGCGCACCCGCTGCCGCTCGCGCTCGTTGCGCTTGCGGAGGAAGGCGGGCTCGAAGGCGCTGTCCAGCGGCACGGGCAAGTACTGCCATCCCCGTGCGCAGCCGCTGCGCGCCCACTCCCAGCACGCGGCGTCCAGACGCAGGGCGACCCTGAGGGGGTCCCTCCGCGGGAGTCCGGGCAGGGTCCCCGGAACGCCCAGGGGCGCGGTGCGCAGCGAGTATGGCAAGGCCAGCCGTTCCGCCGGTTTACGCGTCTCCATCATTTGCCGGAAAGCACACAAATCACTCAAGAGGTCAATCTCTCAATAGAAGAAGACGAAACAGAATCTTAGAAGCAGAGGTGCTGGTGCAGACTGCCTGGCTCAGTGGGTCTGTCTTTGCAGAAGTTTCTGGGTCCAGAAGTTAGGTTCCTGGACAGGCTTCAGGGAAACGGTGCATGATTCCTGAAGTTCATTGCACTCCTCGATCTTTTTATGATTTAGGCAGAGGTGGTAGGCAAAGACGTAGGATCTCCTAATCCACACTTCAAACCCCGTCTTCCCCACTGATCTTCTTTCAGAAGATAACAAAGGGGGTTCCTCTGCCTGGTCCCCCAGCCTGGAAAGGTGAGCTCACACCAGAGTCATCTTCCAAAGCCACCAAAAGCTTTTCAATGCCTGTAATCCACCACTCTAGGTCTTCAAGAGATGAGTCGTTCGCCAAGAGCCTAGCAATCTTCAGGATTTGAGAAGAGCTCCTCCCAGGAACCTGCAGATCTGGCGGCGGAGGGAAAGTGGACCAGAGGCTTTCTCCTTGAAAATCACTTGACTGTCCTTTGTGGTTTCCCGCGACCAGGTCTAATGGAAGGAGCTTTTAGAGTGTTTGCAAACTTAAACTTGCTCTTTCATTTCTGGGGTCTTAGCCTCATCAAAGGAAAAACTGCTCTCTTGCGGTTATAAAATGTGTCAAGTCAAGGAAGACCCGGGGCGAGGCTTGAGGTTTTTCTTCTTCCAAACCGAATCTTTTAAAAACTCAATGAGGCATGTTTGAAGGGTATAGGAAAAATACAGACTGTAGCAAAGAATATAAGGGTCTGCATATTATGTTCCAACATATGTTGTTTTATGGTTGTTGAGGGTGTTTTATGGAGATGCGACTTTTTAAAAGCACATCAAAAGACTGAACAATAACAAACGCGCTTAGCCGGTTATTTCTCACAGTGCTTACTGTAAACACAGCTTAAATACTGCTTCCCAGCCTCCTCTTCTAATCTCACCCAGGATATAAGGACATCATCTTTCCATAGCGCAAAGAGTGTTTTTCCATTGGATTCTTCTTCTTTAAAAAATGTCATTTATTTTCTCTCTTGGGGGCAGGAAAGCAACATTTGAAAGGTGGAGACTCCAAGTTCCAAGGAGAAAGGATGATGTCTTTGAAGACTTGTCTTTTTAAGACACAACCCCTCCAAAATGAATAATTAATCCATCCGTGTTGGTAAACCTTTGAAGATTAAAGTGTCATTAAAAATCCAACTGTACTGGTTAACGTCAAAGAATATGTTATCACACTGAAAATCAGATTTCCTCTTCTGCAAACCAGTACATTAAAGGTGTCTTCTACTTTAAAAGTCCTACTTAAAAACAAGAGAAGCAAAAACCCCCTACATTTATGATGAGAGCTTTTGCCTATTCCTCAGCAGACAAGGTGCTGCCCTAACATGTTTTTCTTTTTAGTTTGGCAAGTCCTGTTCTTCCCTGTTTGTTCTAAATGATCCGCCTGAAGCAACTCAAAAAACAAGGCAAATAAAATAGAAATAATTATTCCTTTCGGGTATAAGTTAGTCACATTTTTAAAGGTGTAGCTTGGCTGGGTGCAGTGGCTCAAGGTTGTATTCCCAGCACTTTGGGAGGCCAAGGCGGGTGGATTGCTTGAGGCCAAGAGTTCAAGACCAACCTGGCCAACATAGCAAGACCCCCATCTTTTAAAAAGAAGAAAGAAAAATTAAAAGTTGTAGCTCCTGATGAGGTTTGTACTGGCAAATAGCCTAATATATCATCACAATTTCTCAGTAGAATTGAGAAAGCCCTTTCTATTAGGAGAAAAGTCCACCACTCAGGCAGGTAGGCTGTTATACCACAAGGTGCTTTTTGGCCATGTCAAAGATTTTAACTTTTAAGAGTGACAGGAAGATAATGAAATATTTTAAGCAGGGAGGTGACATTTGAAGATTTGTGTTTCAAAAAAGATAACTGTGTCTGCAGATTGAGGACTAGATTGGAAGAGAGCAAAAGGAAGAACAGTTGAGATGCCATTTCTCCTTCTCAGATTGGCAAAAGTTTAAAAGATTGCTAAGATTCAGGGGAGGCAAGGATTTGAGGAAAGGGTGGGAGCATAAATTGCTTCAAGAAACTATTAAAATTATTATTATTATTATTATTATTATTATTATTATTATTTTGAGACAGGTCTCACTGTCACCCAGGCTGGGGTGCAGTGATGCGATCTCGGCTCACTGCAACCTCCGCCTCCCAGGCTCAAGGGATCCTCCTATCTCAGCCTCCTGAGTAGCTAGGACTACAGGCTTGTGCCTCCACATCCCAGCTAAACAAACTGTTAAAATTAATAGTGCACATCACATCCTTTGATTCAGATATCTGTGCCGTTTTGTCCTACCAAAATAAATGTAGCAATACCTATTTATGTGTACAATAATCTTTATTGCAACATTTGTAGCAATTTAAAAAAACGAAGACTCCAGGCAAGGTGGCTTATGCCTGTAATCCCAGCACTTTGGGAGGCCAAAGTGGGTGGATCACTTGAGGTCAGGAGTTCGAGACCAGCCTAGCCAACGTGGCGAAACCCTGTCTCTACTAAAAATACAAAAAATTAGTCAGGCGTTGTAGCAGGTGCCTGTAATCCCAGCTACTTGGGAGGCTGAGACAGGAGAATCACTTGAATCCTGGAGGCGGAGGTTGTACTGAGCCAAGATCACGCCACTGCACTCCAGCCTGGGTGACAGAGCAAGACCCAGTCTCAAAAAAAAAAAAAAAAAGGCGAGGCTGGGCACAGTAGCTCACGCCTGTAATCTCAGCACTTTGGGAAGCCGAGGTGGGAGGATCATGAGGCCAGGAGTTCAAGACCTGCCTGACCAGCATGATGAAACCCCATCTCTACTAAAAATCAAAAAAATTAGCTGGGCATGGTGGCACATGCCTGTAGTCCCAGCTACTTGGGAGGCTGAGGCAGGAGAATTGCTTCAACCTGGCAGGCAGAGGTTGAAGTGAGCTGAGATAGCCTGGGCGACAGAGCGAGACTCTGTCTCAAAAAATAAATAAATAGATAAAGAAGAAGAAGAAAAAGGGAACAGCCTGAACAGCCTGAATGTCCATCAATAGGAAAAGAGTTAAAAATCTTAGAATATTATGCTATTATTAAAAATAATGAGTAAAATCTGTACGTAAGAACTTGCAGACATATCCACAATGTCTTAAGTGAAAAAAGCAAATTGCAGAGTAACATATGCAGCAGGAACATAAAAACAATTCTACATGATGTGTATGTCCTTTATATGTGTTTCTGTGAGCATGGAGAATGAAATAGAAAGACACATACTAAATGGTTTTTTGCATTGGTTGCCTAAAAAGAAAGGGTGGCATTGGGGAGGAAGGGGGGATGTTCATTTTTCTTTATAAATCTTTCTACTGTTTAACTTGTTAATACCAACACTATTACTTTCTTATTTTTATAACCCAGTGAAACTTAATAAGATAAAATGTGTAGAAAGTTCAAATGACACCCCCTGATCTGGCCCAAACCAACAGATTTACCATTAGAAATTAGAACTCTTAGACCAGGTTTTCTGGCTCCTTGTAAATTCTGTCTCTGAGGACGAAGTATCTACAAGACTTTCTCTCTCTCTCTCTCTCTCTCACTGCTAATACCACAATCAAAATTGGTCAAGGCCGGGCGCGGTGGCTCATGCCTGTAATCCTAGTACTTTGGGAGGCCAAGGCAGGAGGATCACCTGAGGTCAGGAGTTCAAGACCAGCCTGACCAACATGGAGAAACCCCGTTTCTACTAAAAATACAAAATTAGCTGGGCGTGGTGGTACATGCCTGTAATCCCAGCTACTTGGGAGGCTGAGGCAGGAGGAGAATCACTTGAACCCAGGAGGCGGAGGTTGTGGTGAGCTGAGATCATGCCATTGCACTCCAGCCTGGGCGACAAGAGCAAAACTCCGTCAAAAAAAAAAAAAAAAAAAAACTGGTCAAATCCTGATCCTACAGTGGTCTTTTTATAGGATCCAAGTAATATAATGACCTAACTGCATGGTCACAAAGAATGCTGACAGAGCCTTTCCTAAAGAACAAAAGCATTGAAAATAAGTGGCTTTTCCAGTAGGAATAGGACTGTTTTACTCACATGATGTGCAGGGTATGGGGTGGGGGTTACCTTCTTTACATAAGAGATCAAAAGAAGAAGTTTTGACTCCTGATTACTCTCCAGTCAGTTTTGACCCAGATAAACATTCTCTCCAACCTAAAGCTGTCCTAAGGCTGGCTAGATCACGTAACACATATGCTAACCTGCCAAGAGTAACTGGGCTGGGTTTGTGTAGTCCTATTTGGGTCTGCTCATGAAAGGGGGCAGATGGGCAGGTATATTTTAATCCTTTCCTTCTAGCTTTTGTCTTTTCTCCCCTGTTTAAGGCTACCTTCTCCTACCGCAAGTTTTACAAGGCCTCCTCTTGTCTATATAACACCTTGGTGTGAATTATGAAGAGGCACCAAACTCAAGGCTTGGAGAATGAATGGCTGACTCTAAAATTCATCTGGAAGAACTTTTGGGCAAGGATTTCCCAAATTTGGAAAAGAAGACAAAAGAACACAACGTGCACTTTTAATATCCATGAGGAAGAAATTACCACTTGAGATTCTAACTGAGGCTGTGTTAAATAGAAAGAAATTGGGCCAGGTGCAGTGGCTCATACCTGTAATTCCAACACTTTGGGAAGCTTATACAGGCAGATCACTTGAGCCCAGGAGTTTAAGACCAGCCTGAGCAACATGGGGAGACCCCATCAATACAAAAAAATACAAAAAATAGTCAGGCATGATGGCATGCATCTGAGGTCGCAACAACTCAGGAGGCTAAGGGGGGTGGATTGATTGAGCCCTGGAGATCGAGGCTGCAGTGAGCTGTGATCATGCCACAGCACTCCAGCCTGGGCAACAGAGCAACACCCTGTCTCCATTTAAAAGATTAATTTGGTGAGAATTACCTTTTTTTAAAAAAAAAACATTGCATAGCTCCATATATGCACATAATAGAACTCACTTCTTCAGGTCTTCTTTTTTGTTTTTTGGTAAATTTTGGCCAGGTGCCATGGCTCACGCCTGTAATCCCAGCACTTTGGGAGGCTAAGGCGGGCGGATCACTAGGTCAAGAGATGGAGACCATCCTGGCCAACATGGTGAAAGCCCGTCTCTACCAAACATACAAAAATTAGCTGGGCATGGTGGCGCGTGCCTGTGGTCCCAGCTACTCGGGAGGCTGAGGCAGGAGAATCACTTCAACCCAGGAGGCGGAGGTTGCAGTGAACCAAGATCGCGCCACTGCACTCCAGCCTGGTGACAGAGCAAGACTCCATCTCAAAAAATAAAAATTAATTAATTAATTAATTTCAAATATTTTTCCATGTAGGTCTTGAACATATCTTATTATGCTTATTTCATGATGTTTTATAGGTTTTGTTGCTATAGTGAATAAGATTTTTTTCTGTTATTCAAAGCTACTGATTTATGTTAATCTTTAATCTAGTCATTTCGCTAAACTCTCTTATTAGTTCTAAAGGTTTTTAATCATGATAAGATCTACATAGATTAAATGCACAGATGTTAAATATACAACTTAATGAGCTTTGAATACATGCATACACTTGTGAAATAACACCCACTCAAGATGACTTTTTTTTTTTTTTGAGAGATGGGGTCTCACTCTGACACCCAGGCTGGAATGCACTGGCAGAATCTCGGCTCACTGCACCCTCCGCCTCCGAGGCTCAAGCCATCCTCCCAGCTCAGCCTCCTGAGTAGCTGGGACTACAGGCATGAACCACCATGCCCAGTTAATTTTCGTATTTTTAGTAGAGACAGGATTTCAGCATGTTGGCCAGGAAGGTCTCGATCTCTTGACCTCATGACCCACCTGCCTGGGCCTCCCAAAGTGCTGGGATTACAGGTGTGTGTGAGCCATCACACCCAGCCCATCCTGGTATTTTAATAAGAAAGCTTCTAATGTTTCCCTATCTAGTAGATATTCTTTACCAAGTTAAGGAAATTTGTTTGTTATTTTCAGAAAGAGCTACTAAATTTTATCAAATTCTTTTTAACATCTATAATCATGTATTTTCTTTTTTTATTTGTTATTGTAGTGAATTGCTATAATAGATTTTCTAACATTGAGCCACCTTGCATTCTTAGAATAAAATCCTATGGAGTCATAATTCTTTTATACACTGCTGGATTCAATTTGTTAATATTTTATTTAGAAATTTTTTTCTTATAGTCCCCAGTTATATTGGCTCATAGTTTTATTTTCTTGTGCTCTCCTTTTTTGGTATCAGCATTATTTCAAACTCTTAAAAATAAGTTGAGCAGCTTTCCATCTGTTTCTAGGTGTTGGAACCATTTGTAAAAGATGAAAATTATCTGTTCTTTGGAGAGTTGCTAAAACAAAAAACATATGGCATATGGACTTTTTGTTGTTGTTTTGAGACAGAGTCTTGCTCTGTCACCCAGGCTGGAGTGCAGTGGCATGATCCTGGCTCGCCAAAGCCTCAACCTGCTGGGTTCAATTGACCAGCCTCCTGAGTAGCTGGGACCACAACCGTGTACCACCACACCCGATTAATTTTTATATTTTTTGTAGAGATGAGGCTTCAATGTGTTGCTCAGGTTAGTCTCGAACTCCTGAGCTCAGGTGATCCACCTGCCACAGCCTCCCAAGTGTTGGGATGACAGGTGTGAGCCACTGTGCCCGGCTATGGACCTTCTTTGGAGGTAAATTTTCAGTTACTTTTTCATTTCTTTTATCATTGCTGTTGGAATTTTAGGAGGCCATTAACAAAGACAATGATCTTGTCTTTCTTTCTTGAGTTTCCAGCTTCCTTCAATGGCAACTACTGCTCCTTTGTTTATCATCTTAGACTCACAGATAGGCAGTTTAATTTTTGCCCCTTAAACTTCTAAAATGAATCAGAACAGTACATCTGTTAAATTAACCCCAAAATATGGTGGACCCCAGGCCAAAAACTCACTCCTGATTTTATTTGCTATTTCTAATGAAGGCCATTCCAGTATAGTTGGCCTGAGGTTATGCAGTCAAATAAATTACCCATAGAACAATCCTCCAAATTAAAAAAAAATCCTCATTCTCAAATTGCTAGGCATAAATTAAAACCCAAAGCTTAAATAACCTTATCCTTTTAGGTTAAAATTCAGAGATATCAACATTAAAATTTCTTTGGCTAAACTCCTACAAATCATTTCCCCTCTGTGATATTATGATATATTGGGTTTTGTCCACAGTTCCTGGCTTATAACTCCCTTAGCTCTTGTTACAGTCTTTCGTTATAATGTTAGGGCACTCAGAAGCAGGCCTCAGAAAACAGAACTCTCTCTGTCTCTGTGAACTTCCCCTGCCCTTCTTTCACCAGCCCACAGCAGAACTCTTATCTTCCACCACCTTTGTAATTGTGGGTCATGAGACCCTCAATTCAGGAGTCCTGCCCCATCCGCTGGAGGAAGGAATGCTGCATGGAAGAGACTAGGAAGAATGTGAACAGACAGGCCTTGCTGGGTTTCCCCACTGAGTTTATTAGTATTCGATCACATGCTTTTCGGGCCAATTACATTTCTACATGGTAGTCAGTCATGCCTATCCAATAATGTCTCCGTTAAAGGCCCAAGAGGACAGAGTTTGGAGAGCTTCTGGATAGCTGAACCCCTGAGGGTTCCTGGAGGGTGGCACGCCCAGGGAGGGCATGGAAGCTCTGCACCCCATCCCTGTGCCATGCTCTGTGCATCTCTTCATCTGTATCCTTTGTAATGTCCTTTGTAATAAACCAGTAAATGTAAGTTAAGTGTCTCCTTGAGTTATGTAAGCCACTTTAGCAAATTAATGGGACCCAAAGAGGGGGTCATGGAAATCCCAATTTGAAGCCAATTGGTCAGAAGTTCCACAGGCCTGGACTTGTGACTGGTGTCTGATGAGGAAGGGTTGGGGGGAAGTCTGATGGGACTGATCCCTCAACCTGTGGGATCTGACGCTATCTCCAGGTAGATAGTGTTGGAATTAAATTGGAGGGTACCCAGTTGGTGTGTGTTGCAGAACTGATTGCTTGCTTGGTGTGTGGGGAAAACCACCCCACATTTGGTCACAGAAGTCTTCTGTGTTGTGGTGTTGATGATGTTGTGTTTATTTCTGCTCACTCTTTGATTTCTGATTCTGCTCAGTCTAGTTAGAGGGGTGTTGTTCAAAAGACTGAGTAGAGTGTAGATTCATTCTGCGTGATCCTCACAGAAATTAGCAGTTCCTTCAGATCTGAGAAACTGAATTAGTTTGAAACCATATGTGTTCACCCTTTAAAGTCCTAAGACTTGGTCGGGTATGGTGGTTCATGCCTGTAATCCCAGCACTTTGGGAGGCCAAAGCAGAAGGATCACTCAAGACCAGCCTGGGCAACATGGTAAAACCCCGTCTCCACAAAACATACAAAAATTAGCTGGGTGTGGTGGTGCATGCCTGTAATCCCAGCTACTCGGGAGGCTGAGGTGGGAAGACTGCTTGAGCCTAGGAGTCAGAGGTTGCAGTGAGCCGAGATCACGCCATCTGTACTCCAGCCTGGGCGACAGAGCAAGACTCTGTCTCAAAAAAAGAAAAAAATCGTAAGAGCTAACAGAACACACAAGATCACCCCAGTTCTACTACCACATACACTGCATTTAGAAAACAAGTAATTCTACAGCTTTTAGAGGAGTTGAAAAAGTACTTGGGACATTAAGAGAAATACTGTTCCAAGTACCAGTGCTTAATCCTCTATACCCCTGTATCAGTTTCCTAAGATCAGAGCAGAGACTCAGAGGTAGCCAAGATAAGGGGGGCAGCCTCCTCAGAATGGCCGTCAATAAAATGCTAAGCACTTATTTAGCTCTTGAGCCTGAGGATCAGTGATTTGGCCTGACCGCGGCTCAGTTCAAGCATATGTCCCACATGGCAAACTCAGAATCAAGGAGCAGAAAAATAGACTCCACTTCTTCCCAAGAGAAAAAAGGCTGGCTACCGAGAGGAGTGAAGAATTGGGGCTATTGACAAAATCTCTCTATTTTACTTCCCACTCTAAAATAATTGCACAATGTAAACTAGGCCCATGTCAGGGGCTCCATAGCCACAGGTGGGTAGCAGCTACCACACTAGGCAATACAGTTCTAGAGTCACTGGTGTCCTTGCAATTTCTCAAATCTGCCAGGCAGTGTCCTGCCTCAGGGCCTTTGCTCTTGACCTTCTTTCTGATTGAGATATTCTTCCTCTAGATGTTTGCATGGATCACTGTCTCCTCTCCTTTGGTTCAAATGTCACCTTTTGAGTGATGACTTCTCTGTCTACCCTATTAAAATTGCAGGCCCATCCCCAGGCATTTTCTGTCCATTTTTCCAGCCATTCTTTTTTTTAATGTTATTTATTGCTATCTGGAATATTGTGTATTTTAATTATTTATTTCTTTATTATCTATCTTCTTCCATTATAATGTAAGCTCCAGAGGAACTGGTATTTTTTGCCTGTTTTGTTTACTATATACTCCCAGTTCCTAGAGCAATGCCTGGCACAGAGTAGACACTCAACAAACATTTGTAGAATAAACTCTATGCCTCTCTGCAAATATTAAATAAAGGAGGTCAGTCCTTACATTATACATTATAATTGTATCAAACTTATGGGCAGGAATCCCAAGAATGCCAAAGAGCAGGTTTACCCACATAAAAGGTCTTTATTTCCAGATCCTCCTTACCATAAGGAATAGGAAGCAAGATTTGAAAACTTAATTAGGGTCAGTTAAAAGTAAGATACCCTGATCAGCTAAATCTGGGGCCAAGTTTACCCATTACTGTTCTCGTCTTTAGTGCTAGGAAATAATGTTTAAAGGTAATTTGCTCTCTGTGTCTATCCCTGATGTCCAGGAAAAATCTTAGTGGTTGTTATCTGGTTGTCTTCACTGATATTACCTCTAAGCTCTACCCTTGACTATACTCTCCATCATTATTTCACAGTCATACTAATACAGTCCTGTGCCATACAATGATGTTTTGGTCAACGACAGACTGGATATACAAGAGTGGTCCCATAAGATTATAATGAAGCTGCCCTATACAGGCATACCATTTTTTAATCTTTTATCTGTATTTTTACTGTACTTTTTCTATGTTTAGATATGTTTAGATACACAAATACCACGATGTTACAGTTGTCTGGAGTATTCAGTACAGTAACATGCTGTGCAGGTTTGTAGCCTAGGAGCTATAGGCCATACCATCTAGCCTAGGGGTGTAGTAGGTTAGACCATCTAGGTATATGTAAGGGCACTCTATGATGTTTGCACAACCACAGAATCACCTAAGGTTGCATTCCTCAGAACATATCCTCATTGTTCTGCCACACCGACGCTCTTCATTTCTACCTGTGTGATTGGCCAGTTTCTCCCATTTTTGTTGTTGTTGTTGTTTGAGGAAGTGTCTTGCCCTGTCGCCCAGGCCAGAGTGCAGTGGCTGTGGCCTGATCACAGCTCACTGCAGTATCAACCTCCCAGGCTCAAAGTATCCTTCTACCTCAGCCTCCCAAGTAGCTGGGACCACAGGCATGTACCATCATACCGGGCTGATTTTTGTAAAGACAAGGTTTCATCATGTTGCTCAGGCTGATCTTGAACTCCTGGACTCAAGAAATCCACCAGACTTGGCTTCCCAAAGTGCTAGGATTACCGGTGTGAGCCACTGTGTCTGGCCTTTCCATTGTCTTTATTGTCTTAACAGCACCATGGAGTCTCCTTAAAGGGGTAAGTCACCCTAAATCAGCAGTTAAGGCAATCTTTGAGCAAACATTTGCTGTACATCTCCAAGTAAATAGATATATGAGTCAATATGTGTGGCTTCAAATTATGCCAGTTTGACTTTCCCTCAGGCATCAGAAATTCATTGAATATCTAATATATGCCAGGTATAGTGCTATGTTGTATAGCATTAAATAAGATAGACATGAATCTTCTCCCCAAAATTTAAAATGTATTTGGCAAAATAGAAAATTAAACAATTAATTACAATAAAGATAGGTACTATGAGAGAGCATACAGTGGGCCTAGTCTGGGGAGTAGAGTCAGAACACTTCAATTTTTGTTAATCTTGACATAATTTTTTAATTGAATTTTTGAGGTATTTTTACATACAATAAAATTCACCAATGTCAAGTTTACTATTTGATTAATTTGGACAGATGTATACAATTGTGTAACCTCTACCACAATCAAGACCATTTTCATCACTCCTAAAAGTTCTCTTATGCCCCCACTGTAGGCAATCTCATCCCCCAACCCATTCCCAACTTCTGACAATCACTTCTCTGCTTTCTATTACTACAGTTTTGCCTTTTCTAGAATTTCTCATACCTGGACTCATAATATGTAGTCTATTGTGTCTGGTTCCTTTCACTTAGCATAATACGTCTTTGAGATCCATCCATGTATCAACAGCTTGTTCCTTTTTATTTCTGAGTATTCCACTGTATAGATACTGTACACTATCATTATTCATTTACCAGTTGATGGACATTTGGGTCATTTCCTGTTCTGGCCTATGACAGATAACGCAGCTATGGACATTGGCGTACAAGTCTTTGTACATATGTTTTTATTTTTCTTTGGTAAATACCTAAGGAGTGTGGAGAATTGGATGGTATAAGAGGTATAAGAAATTGCTGGCCAGGCATGGTTGCTCATGCCTGTAATCCCAGCACTTTGGGAGGCTAAGGCAGGTGGATCACTTGAGGTCAGGAGTTCGCAACCGGCTTGGCCAACATGGTGAAACCCCATCTCTACTAAAAATACAAAAGTTCGCCAGGCATGCTGGTGAGCACCTGTAATCCCAGCTACTGGGGAAGCTGAGGCAGGAGAATCACTTGAACCCAGCAGGCAGAGGCTGCAGTGAGCTGAGACCACAGCACAGCACTCCAGCCTGGGTGACAGTGAAACTCTGTCTAAAAAAAAAAAGAGAGAAAGAAAAAAGAAAGAAAT